>NC_000018.10:18843894-19013412 GCF_000001405.40 Homo sapiens | reverse complement strand
CTTACACACACTACAAAAAGAGTGTTTCAAACCTGCTCTGTGAAAGGGAATGTTCAATTCTGTGACTTGAATGCAATCATCACAAAGAACTTTCTGAGAATGCTGCTGACTGCTTTTTATATGTAATCCCGTTTCCAACGAAATCCTCAAATCTAGCCCAATATCCACTTGCAGATTCCACAAAAAGAGTGTTTCAAAACTGTTCTGTCTAAAGAAATGTACAACTGTGTCAGTTGAGGACACACATCAGAAACTAGTTTCTGAGAATGCTTCTGTCTAGTTGTTATGGGAAGATATTTCCTTTTCCATCGTAGGCCTGAATGCGCTCCAAATGTCCACTTCCATATACCAAAAAAAGAGTGTTTCAAACCTGCTCTACCAAAGGGAATGTTCTACTCTCTGACTTGAATGCAAACATCCCAAAGAAGTTTCTGAGAATGCTTCTGTCTAGATTTGATCTGAAGACAATCCCGTTTCCAACGAAATCCTCAAGGCTAGGCAAATATCCTCTTGCAGATTCCAGAAAAAGAGTGTTTCAAAACTGCTCCTTCAAAACGGTGGTTCAATTCTCTTAGTTGAGTACACACATCTCAAATAAGTTTCTGAGAATGCTTCTGCCTAGTTGTTACGGGAAGATATTTCCCTTTCCAACATAGGCCTGAAAGCGCTCCAAATGTCCACTTCCAGATACTACAAAAAGAGTGTTTCAAACCTGCTCTACCAAAGGGAATGTTCTACTCTGTGACTTGAATGCAAACATCCCAAAGAAGTTTCTGAGAATGCTTCTGTCTAGATTTTACCTGAAGACAATCCCGTTTCCCACGAAATACTCAAAGCTATGCAAATATCCTCTTGCAGATTCTACAAAAAGAGTGTTTCAAAACTGCTCTATGAAAAGAAAGGTTCAACTCTGTCAGTAGAGGGCACACATCACAAACAAGTTTCTGAGAATGCTTGTGTCTAGTTGTTATGGGAAGATATTTCCTTTTTCAACATAGGCCTGAAAGCGCTCCAAATGTCCACTTCCAGATACTACAAAAGGAGTGATTCCAACCTGCTCTATGATAGGGAATGTTCAACTCTCTGTCCTGAATACAAACATCACAAAGATGTTTCTCAGAACGCTGCAGTCTGCAATTTGTATGAATTCCCGCTCCCAACGAAATCCTCAAAACTAGCCAAATATCCACTTGCAGATTCCACAAAAAGAGCATTTCAAAACTGCTCTATCAAAAGAAAGGTTCAACTTTGTTAGTTGAGTAGATACAGCATAAACAAGTTTCTGAGAATGCTTCTGTCCAGTTTTTATGGGAAGATATTTCCTTTTTCACCTTAGCCCTGAAAGCGCTCCAAAAGTCCAGTTCCAGATACTACAAAAGGGGTGTTTCAAGACTGCTCTATGAAAGGGAGTGTTCAACTTTTGACTTGAATGCAAACATCAGAAAGCAGTTTCTCAGAACGCTGCTGTGTGCTTTTTATATGTATTCCCGCTTCCAGCGAAATCCCCAAAGCTAGCCAAATATCCACTTGCAGATTCCAGAAAAAGAGTGTTTCAAAACTGCTCCTTCAAAACGGTGGTTCAATTCTCTTAGTTGAGTACACACATCTCAAATAAGTTTCTGAGAATGCTTCTGTGTTGTTGTTATGGGAAGATATTTCCTTTTCCAACATAGGCCTGAAAGCGCTCCAAATGTCCACTTCCAGATACTACAAAAGGAGTGATTCCAACCTGCTCTATGATAGGGAATGTTCAACTCTGTGTCCTGAATACAAACATCACAAAGATGTTTCTCAGAACGCTGCAGTCTGCAATTTGTATGAATTCCCGCTTCCAACGAAATCCTCCAAACTAGCCAAATATCCACTTGCAGATTCCACAAAAAGAGCGTTTCAAAACTTCTCTATGAAAAGAAAGGTTCTACTCCTTTAGTTGAGGACACACATCACGAGTAAGTTTCTGAGAATGCTCTGTCTAGTTTTTATGGGAAGATATTTCCTTTTTCACCTTAGGCCGGAAAGTGCTCCAAATGTCCACTTACACACACTACAAAAAGAGTGTTTCAAACCTGCTACTGTGAAAGGGAATGTTCAATTACTGTGACTTGAATGCAATCATCACAAAGAACTTTCTGAGAATGCTGGCTGTCTGCTTTTTATATGTAATCCCGTTTCCAACGAAATTCTCAAATCTAGCCAAATAGCCACTTGCAGATTCCACAAAAAGAGTGTTTCAAAACTGTTCTGTCTAAAGAAATGTTCAACTGTGTTAGTTGAGGACACACATCAGAAACTAGTTTCTGCGAATGCTTCTGTCTAGTCGTTATGGGAAGATATTTCCTTTTCCAACGTAGGCCTGAAAGCGATCCAAATGTCCACTTCCATATACTAAAAAAAGAGTGTTTCAAACCTGCTCTACCAAAGGGAATGTTCTACTCTGTGACTTGAATGCAAACATCCCAAAGAAGTTTCTGAGAATGCTTCTGTCTAGATTTTATCTGAAGACAACCACGTTTCCAACGAAATCGTCAAGGCTAGGCAAATATACTCTTGCAGATTCCAGAAAAAGAGTGTTTCAAAACTGCGCCTTCAAAACGGTGGTTCAATTCTCTTAGTTGAGTACACACATCTCAAATAAGTTTCTGAGAATGCTTCTGCCTAGTTGTTACGGGAAGATATTTCCCTTTCCAACATAGGCCTGAAAGCGCTCCAAATGTCCACTTCCAGATACTACAAAAAGAGTGTTTCAAACCTGCTCTACCAAAGGGAATGTTCTACTCTGTGACTTGAATGCAAACATCCCAAAGAAGTTTCTGAGAATGCTTCTGTCTAGATTTTACCTGAAGACAATCCCGTTTCCCACGAAATCCTCAAAGCTATGCAAATATCCTCTTGCAGATTCTACAAAAAGAGTGTTTCAAAACTGCTCTATGAAAAGAAAGGTTCAACTCTGTCAGTAGAGGGCACACATCACAAACAAGTTTCTGAGAATGCTTGTGTCTAGTTGTTATGGGAAGATATTTCCTTTTTCAACATAGGCCTGAAAGCGCTCCAAATGTCCACTTCCAGATACTACAAAAGGAGTGATTCCAACCTGCTCTATGATAGGGAATGTTCAACTCTCTGTCCTGAATACAAACATCACAAAGATGTTTCTCAGAACGCTGCAGTCTGCAATTTGTATGAATTCCCGCTTCCAACGAAATCCTAAAAACTAGCCAAATATCCACTTGCAGATTCCACAAAAAGACCATTTCAAAACTGCTCTATCAAAAGAAAGGTTCAACTTTGTTAGTTGAGTAGATACAGCATAAACAAGTTTCTGAGAATGCTTCTGTCCAGTTTTTATGGGAAGATATTTCCTTTTTCACCTTAGCCCTGAAATCGCTCCAAAAGTCCAGTTCCAGATACTACAAAAGGGGTGTTTCAAGACTGCTCTATGAAAGGGAGTGTTCAACTTTTGACTTGAATGCAAACATCAGAAAGCAGTTTCTCAGAACGCTGCTGTGTGCTTTTTATATGTATTCCCGCTTCCAGCGAAATCCCCAAAGCTAGCCAAATATCCACTTGCAGATTCCAGAAAAAGAGAGTTTCAAAACTGCTCCTTCAAAACGGTGGTTCAATTCTCTTAGTTGAGTACACACATCTCAAATAAGTTTCTGAGAATGCTTCTGTCTAGTTGTTATGGGAAGATATTTCCTTTTCCAACATAGGCCTGAAAGCGCTCCAAATGTCCACTTCCAGATACTACAAAAGGAGTGATTCCAACCTGCTCTATGATAGGGAATGTTCAACTCTGTGTCCTGAATACAAACATCACAAAGATGTTTCTCAGAACGCTGCAGTCTGCAATTTGTATGAATTCCCGCTTCCAACGAAATCCTCAAAACTAGCCAAATATCCACTTGCAGATTCCACAAAAAGACCATTTCAAAACTGCTCTATCAAAAGAAAGGTTCAACTTTGTTAGTTGAGTAGATACAGCATAAACAAGTTTCTGAGAATGCTTCTGTCCAGTTTTTATGGGAAGATATTTCCTTTTTCACCTTAGCCCTGAAATCGCTCCAAAAGTCCAGTTCCAGATACTACAAAAGGGGTGTTTCAAGACTGCTCTATGAAAGGGAGTGTTCAACTTTTGACTTGAATGCAAACATCAGAAAGCAGTTTCTCAGAACGCTGCTGTGTGCTTTTTATATGTATTCCCGCTTCCAGCGAAATCCCCAAAGCTAGCCAAATATCCACTTGCAGATTCCAGAAAAAGAGTGTTTCAAAACTGCTCCTTCAAAACGGTGGTTCAATTCTCTTAGTTGAGTACACACATCTCAAATAAGTTTCTGAGAATGCTTCTGTCTAGTTGTTATGGGAAGATATTTCCTTTTCCAACATAGGCCTGAAAGCGCTCCAAATGTCCACTTCCAGATACTACAAAAGGAGTGATTCAAACCTGCTCTATGATAGGGAATGTTCAACTCTGTGTCCTGAATACAAACATCACAAAGATGTTTCTCAGAACGCTGCAGTCTGCAATTTGTATGAATTCCCGCTTCCAACGAAATCCTCAAAACTAGCCAAATATCCACTTGCAGATTCCACAAAAAGAGCGTTTCAAAACTTCTCTATGAAAAGAAAGGTTCTACTCCTTTAGTTGAGGACACACATCACGAGTAAGTTTCTGAGAATGCTTCTGTCTAGTTTTTATGGGAAGATATGTCCTTTTTCACCTTAGGCCGGAAAGTGCTCCAAATGTCCACTTACACACACTACAAAAAGAGTGTTTCAAACCTGCTCTGTGAAAGGGAATGTTCAATTCTGTGACTTGAATGCAATCATCACAAAGAACTTTCTGAGAATGCTGCTGTCTGCTTTTTATATGTAAACCCGTTTCCAACGAAATCCTCAAATCTAGCCAAATAGCCACTTGCAGATTCCACAAAAAGAGTGTTTCAAAACTGTTCTGTCTAAAGAAATGTTCAACTGTGTTAGTTGAGGACACACATCAGAAACTAGTTTCTGAGAATGCTTCTGTCTAGTTGTTATGGGAAGATATTTCCTTTTCCAACGTAGGCCTGAAAGCGCTCCAAATGTCCACTTCCATATACTTAAAAAAGAGTGTTTCAAACCTGCTCTACCAAAGGGAATGTTCTACTCTGTGACATGAATGCAAACATCCCAAGGAAGTTTCTGAGAATGCTTCTGTCTAGCATTTGATCTGAAGACAATCCCGTTTCCAACGAAATCCTCAAGGCTAGGCAAATATCCTCTTGCAGATTCCAGAAAAAGAGTGTTTCAAAACTGCTCCTTCAAAACGGTGGTTCAATTCTCTTAGTTGAGTACACACATCTCAAATAAGTTTCTGAGAATGCTTCTGCCTAGTTGTTACGGGAAGATATTTCCCTTTCCAACATAGGCCTGAAAGCGCTCCAAATGTCCACTTCCAGATACTACAAAAAGAGTGTTTCAAACCTGCTCTACCAAAGGGAATGTTCTGCTCTGTGACTTGAATGCAAACATCCCAAAGAAGTTTCTGAGAATGCTTCTGTCTAGATTTTACCTGAAGACAATCCCGTTTCCCACGAAATCCTCAAAGCTATGCAAATATCCTCTTGCAGATTCTACAAAAAGAGTGTTTCAAAACTGCTCTATGAAAAGAAAGGTTCAACTCTGTCAGTAGAGGGCACACATCACAAACAAGTTTCTGAGAATGCTTGTGTCTAGTTGTTATGGGAAGATATTTCCTTTTTCAACATAGGCCTGAAAGCGCTCCAAATGTCCACTTCCAGATACTACAAAAGGAGTGATTCCAACCTGCTCTATGATAGGGAATGTTCCTCTCTGTGTCCTGAATACAAACATCACAAAGATGTTTCTCAGAACGCTGCAGTCTGCAATTTGTATGAATTCCCGCTTCCAACGAAATCCTCAAAACTAGCCAAATATCCACTTGGAGATTCCACAAAAAGAGCATTTCAAAACTTCTCTACGAATAGAAAGGTTCTACTCCTTTAGTTGAGGACACACATCACGAGTAAGTTTCTGAGAATGCTTCTGTCTAGTTTTTATGGGAAGATATTTCCTTTTTCACCTTAGGCCGGAAAGCGCTCCAAATGTCCACTTACACACACTACAAAAAGAGTGTTTCAAACCTGCTCTGTGAAAGGGAATGTTCAATTCTGTGACTTGAATGCAATCATCACAAAGAACTTTCTGAGAATGCTGCTGACTGCTTTTTATATGTAATCCCGTTTCCAACGAAATCCTCAAATCTAGCCAAATAGCCACTTGCAGATTCCACAAAGAGTGTTTCAAAACTGTTCTGTCTAAAGAAATGTTCAACTGTGTTAGTTGAGGACACACATCAGAAACTAGTTTCTGAGAATGCTTCTGTCTAGTTGTTATGGGAAGATATTTCCTTTTCCAACGTAGGCCTGAAAGCGCTCCAAATGTCCACTTCCATATACTAAAAAAAGAGTGTTTCAAACCTGCTCTACCAAAGGGAATGTTCTACTCTGTGACTTGAATGCAAACATCCCAAAGAAGTTTCTGAGAATGCTTCTGTCTAGATTTTATCTGAAGACAATCCCGTTTCCAACGAAATCCTCAAGGCTAGGCAAATATACTCTTGCAGATTCCAGAAAAAGAGGGTTTCAAAACTGCTCCTTCAAAACGGTGGTTCAATTCTCTTCGTTGAGTACACACATCTCAAATAAGTTTCTGAGAATGCTTCTGCCTAGTTGTTACGGGAAGATATTTCCCTTTCCAACATGGGCCTGAAAGCGCTCCAAATGTCCACTTCCAGATACTACAAAAAGAGTGTTTCAAACCTGCTCTACCAAAGGGAATGTTCTACTCTGTGACTTGAATGCAAACATCCCAAAGAAGTTTCTGAGAATGCTTCTGTCTAGATTTTACCTGAAGACAATCCCGTTTCCCACGAAATCCTCAAATCTATGCAAATATCCTCTTGCAGATTCTACAAAAAGAGTGTTTCGAAACTGCTCTATGAAAAGAAAGGTTCAACTGTGTCAGTAGAGGGCACACATCACAAAGAAGTTTCTGAGAATGCTTCTGTCTAGTTGTTATGGGAAGATATTTCCTTTTTCAACATAGGCCTGAAAGCGCTCCAAATGTCCACTTCCAGATACTACAAAAGGAGTGATTCCAACCTGCTCTATGATAGGGAATGTTCAACTCTGTGTCCTGAATACAAACATCACAAAGATGTTTCTCAGAACGCTGCAGTCTGCAATTTGTATGAATTCCCGCTTCCAACGAAATCCTCAAAACTAGCCAAATATCCACTTGCAGATTCCACAAAAAGAGCGTTTCCAAACTTCTCTATGAAAAGAAAGGTTCTACTCCTTTAGTTGAGGACACACATCACGAGTAAGTTTCTGAGAATGCTTCTGTCTAGTTTGTATGGGAAGATATTTCCTTTTTCACCTTAGGCCGGAAAGTGCTCCAAATGTCCACTTACACACACTACAAAAAGAGTGTTTCAAACCTGCTCTGTGAAAGGGAATGTTCAATTCTGTGACTTGAATGCAATCATCACAAAGAACTTTCTGAGAATGCTGCTGTCTGCTTTTTATATGTAATCCCGTTTCCAACGAAATCCTCAAATCTAGCCAAATAGCCACTTGCAGATTCCACAAAAAGAGTGTTTCAAAACTGTTCTGTCTAAAGAAATGTTCAACTGTGTTAGTTGAGGACACACATCAGAAACTAGTTTCTGAGAATGCTTCTGTCTAGTTGTTATGGGAAGATATTTCCTTTTCCAACGTAGGCCTGAAAGCGCTCCAAATGTCCACTTCCATATACTAAAAAAAGAGTGTTTCAAACCTGCTCTACCAAAGGGAATGTTCTACTCTGTGACTTGAATGCAAACATCCCAAAGAAGTTTCTGAGAATGCTTCTGTCTAGATTTGATCTGAAGACAATCCCGTTTCCAACGGAATCCTCAAAGCTAGGCAAATATACTCTTGCAGATTCCAGAAAAAGAGTGTTTCAAAACTGCTCCTTCAAAAGGGTGGTTCAATTCTCTTAGTTGAGTACACACATCTCAAATAAGTTTCCGAGAATGCTTCTGCCTAGTTGTTACGGGAAGATATTTCCCTTTCCAACATAGGCCTGAAAGCGCTCCAAATGTCCACTTCCAGATACTACAAAAAGAGTGTTTCAAACCTGCTCTACCAAAGGGAATGTTCTACTCTGTGACTTGAATGCAAACATCCCAAAGAAGTTTCTGAGAATGCTTCTGTCTAGATTTTACCTGAAGACAATCCCGTTTCCAACGAAATCCTCAAAGCTATGCAAATATCCTCTTGCAGATTCCACACAAAGAGTGTTTCGAAACTGCTCTATGAAAAGAACGGTTCAACTCTGTCAGTAGAGGGCACACATCACAAACAAGTTTCTGAGAATGCTTCTGTCTAGTTGTTTTGGGAAGATATTTCCTTTTTCAACATAGGCCTGAAAGCGCTCCAAATGTCCACTTCCAGATACTACAAAAGGAGTGATTCCAACCTGCTCTACGATAGGGAATGTTCAACTCTGTGTCCTGAATACAAACATCACAAAGATGTTTCTCAGAACGCTGCAGTCTGCAATTTGTATGAATTCCAGCTTCCAACGAAATCCTCACAACTAGCCAAATATCCACTTGCAGATTCCACAAAAAGAGCATTTCAAAACTGCTCTATCAAAAGAAAGGTTCAACTTTGTTAGTTGAGTAGATACAGCATAAACAAGTTTCTGAGAATGCTTCTGTCCAGTTTTTATGGGAAGATATTTCCTTTTTCACCTTAGCCCTGAAAGCGCTCCAAAAGTCCAGTTCCAGATACTACAAAAGGAGTGTTTCAGGACTGCTCTATGAAAGGGAGTGTTCAACTTTTGACTTGAATGCAAACATCAGAAAGCAGTTTCTCAGAACGCTGCTGTGTGCTTTTTATATGTATTCCCGCTTCCAGCGAAATCCCCAAAGCTAGCCAAATATCCACTTGCAGATTCCAGAAAAAGAGTGTTTCAAAACTGCTCCTTCAAAACGGTGGTTCAATTCTCTTAGTTGAGTACACACATCTCAAATAAGTTTCTGAGAATGCTTGTGTCTAGTTGTTATGGGAAGATATTTCCTTTTTCAACATAGGCCTGAAAGCGCTCCAAATGTCCACTTCCAGATACTACAAAAGGAGTGATTCCAACCTGCTCTATGATAGGGAATGTTCATCTCTGTGTCCTGAATACAAACATCACAAAGATGTTTCTCAGAACGCTGCAGTCTGCAATTTGTATGAATTCCCGCTTCCAACGAAATCCTCAAAACTAGCCAAATATCCACTTGGAGATTCCACAAAAAGAGCGTTTCAAAACTTCTCTATGAATAGAAAGGTTCTACTCCTTTAGTTGAGGACACACATCACGAGTAAGTTTCTGAGAATGCTTCTGTCTAGTTTTTATGGGAAGATATTTCCTTTTTCACCTTAGGCCGGAAAGCGCTCCAAATGTCCACTTACACACACTACAAAAAGAGTGTTTCAAACCTGCTCTGTGAAAGGGAATGTTCAATTCTGTGACTTGAATGCAATCATCAAAAAGAACTTTCTGAGAATGCTGCTGTCTGCTTTTTATATGTAATCCCGTTTCCAACGAAATCCTCAAATCTAGCCCAATATCCACTTGCAGATTCCACAAAAAGAGTGTTTCAAAACTGTTCTGTCTAAAGAAAAGTTCAACTGTGTTAGTTGAGGACACACATCAGAAACTAGTTTCTGAGAATGCTTCTCTGTCTAGTTGTTATGGGAAGATATTTCCTTTTCCAACGTAGGCCTGAAAGCGCTCCAAATGTCCACTTCCATATACTAAAAAAAGAGTGTTTCAAACCTGCTCTACCAAAGGGAATGTTCTACTCTGTGACTTGAATGCAAACATCCCAAAGAAGTTTCTGAGAATGCTTCTGTCTAGATTTTATCTGAAGACAATCCCGTTTCCAACGAAATCCTCAAGGCTAGGCAAATATACTCTTGCAGATTCCAGAAAAAGAGTGTTTCAAAACTGCTCCTTCAAAACGGTGGTTCAATTCTCTTAGTTGAGTACACACATCTCAAATAAGTTTCTGAGAATGCTTCTGCCTAGTTGTTACGGGAAGATATTTCCCTTTCCAACATAGGCCTGAAAGCGCTCCAAATGTCCACTTCCAGATACTACAAAAAGAGTGTTTCAAACCTGCTCTACCAAAGGGAATGTTCTACTCTGTGACTTGAATGCAAACATCCCAAAGAAGTTTCTGAGAATGCTTCTGTCTAGATTTTACCTGAAGACAATCCCGTTTCCCACGAAATCCTCAAAGCTATGCAAATATCCTCTTGCAGATTCTACAAAAAGAGTGTTTCAAAACTGCTCTATGAAAAGAAAGGTTCAACTCTGTCAGTAGAGGGCACACATCACAAACAAGTTTCTGAGAATGCTTGTGTCTAGTTGTTATGGGAAGATATCTCCTTTTTCAACATAGGCCTGAAAGCGCTCCAAATGTCCACTTCCAGATACTACAAAAGGAGTGATTCCAACCTGCTCTATGATAGGGAATGTTCAACTCTCTGTCCTGAATACAAACATCACAAAGATGTTTCTCAGAACGCTGCAGTCTGCAATTTGTATGAATTCCCGCTTCCAACGAAATCCTCAAAACTAGCCAAATATCCACTTGCAGATTCCACAAAAAGAGCATTTCAAAACTGCTCTATCAAAAGAAAGGTTCAACTTTGTTAGTTGAGTAGATACATCATAAACAAGTTTCTGAGAATGCTTCTGTCCAGTTTTTATGGGAAGATATTTCCTTTTTCACCTTAGCCCTGAAATCGCTCCAAAAGTCCAGTTCCAGATACTACAAAAGGGGTGTTTCAGGACTGCTCTATGAAAGGGAGTGTTCAACTTTTGACTTGAATGCAAACATCAGAAAGCAGTTTCTCAGAACGCTGCAGTCTGCAATTTGTATGAATTCCCGCTTCCAACGAAATCCTCAAAACTAGCCAAATATCCACTTGCAGATTCCACAAAAAGAGCATTTCAAAACTGCTCTATGAAAAGAAAGGTTCAACTCTGTCAGTAGAGGGCACACATCACAAACAAGTTTCTGAGAATGCTTGTGTCTAGTTGTTATGGGAAGATATTTCCTTTTTCAACATAGGCCAGAAAGCGCTCCAAAAGTCCAGTTCCAGATACTACAAAAGGAGTGTTTCAGGACTGCACTATGAAAGGGAGTGTTCAACTTTTGACTTGAATGCAAACATCAGAAAGCAGTTTCTCAGAACGCTGCTGTGTGCTTTTTATACGTATTCCCGCTTCCAGCGAAATCCCCAAAGCTAGCCAAATATCCACTTGCAGATTCCAGAAAAAGAGTGTTTCAAAACTGCTCCTTCAAAACGGTGGTTCAATTCTCTTAGTTGAGTACACACATCTCAAATAAGTTTCTGAGAATGCTTCTGTCTAGTTGTTATGGGAAGATATTTCCTTTTCCAACATAGGCCTGAAAGCGCTCCAAATGTCCACTTCCAGATACTACAAAAGGAGTGATTCAAACCTGCTCTATGATAGGGAATGTTCAACTCTGTGTCCTGAATACAAACATCACAAAGATGTTTCTCAGAACGCTGCAGTCTGCAATTTGTATGAATTCCCGCTTCCAAAGAAATCCTCAAAACTAACCAAATATCCACTTGCAGACTCCACAAAAAGAGCATTTCAAAACTGCTCTATCAAAAGAAAGGTTCAACTTTGTTAGCTGAGTAGATACAGCATAAACAAGTTTCTGAGAATGCTTCTGTCCAGTTTTTATGGGAAGATATTTCCTTTTTCACCTTAGCCCTGAAAGCACTCCAAATGTCCACTTCCAGATACCACAAAAGGGGAGTTTCAAGACTGCTCTATGAAAGGGAGTGTTCAACTTTTGACTTGAATGCGAACATCAGAAAGAAGTTTCTCAGAACGCTGCTGTGTGCTTTTTATATGTATTCCCGCTTCCAGCGAAATCCCCAAAGCTAGCCAGATATCCACTTGCAGATTCCAGAAAAAGAGTGTTTCAAAACTGCTCCTTCAAAACGGTGGTTCAATTCTCTTAGTTGAGTACACACATCTCAAATAAGTTTCTGAGAATGCTTGTGTCTAGTTGTTATGGGAAGATATTTCCTTTTTCAACATAGGCCTGAAAGCGCTCCAAATGTCCACTTCCAGATACTACAAAAGGAGTGATTCCAACCTGCTTTATGATAGGGAATGTTCATGTCTGTGTCCTGAATACAAACATCACAAAGATGTTTCTCAGAACGCTGCAGTCTGCAATTTGTATGAATTCCCGCTTCCAACGAAATCCTCAACACTAGCCAAATATCCACTTGGAGATTCCACAAAAAGAGCGTTTCAAAACTTCTCTATGAATAGAAAGGTTCTACTCCTTTAGTTGAGGACACACATCACCGAGTAAGTTTCTGAGAATGCTTCTGTCTAGTTTTTATGGGAAGATATGTCCTTTTTCACCTTAGGCCGGAAAGCGCTCCAAATGTCCACTTACACACACTACAAAAAGAGTGTTTCAAACCTGCTCTGTGAAAGGGAATGTTCAATTCTGTGACTTGAATGCAATCATCACAAAGAACTTTCTGAGAATGCTGCTGTCTGCTTTTTATATGTAATCCCGTTTCCAACGAAATACTCAAATCTAGCCCAATATCCACTTGCAGATTCCACAAAAAGAGTGTTTCAAAACTGTTCTGTCTAAAGAAATGTACAACTGTGTTAGTTGAGGACACACATCACAAACTAGTTTCTGAGAATGCTTCTGTCTAGTTGTTATGGGAAGATATTTCCTTTTCCAACGTAGGCCTGAAAGCGCTCCAAATGTCCACTTCCATATACTAAAAAAAGAGTGTTTCAAACCTGCTCTACCAAAGGGAATGTTCTACTCTGTGACTTGAATGCAAACATCCCAAAGAAGTTTCTGAGAATGCTTCTGTCTAGATTTTATCTGAAGACAATCCCGTTTCCAACGAAATCCTCAAGGCTAGGCAAATATACTCTTGCAGATTCCAGAAAAAGAGTGTTTCAAAACTGCTCCTTCAAAACGGTGGTTCAATTCTCTTAGTTGAGTACACACATCTCAAATAAGTTTCTGAGAATGCTTCTGCCTAGTTGTTACGGGAAGATATTTCCCTTTCCAACATGGGCCTGAAAGCGCTCCAAATGTCCACTTCCAGATACTACAAAAAGAGTGTTTCAAACCTGCTCTACCAAAGGGAATGTTCTACTCTGTGACTTGAATGCAAACATCCCAAAGAAGTTTCTGAGAATGCTTCTGTCTAGATTTTACCTGAAGACAATCCCGTTTCCCACGAAATCCTCAAAGCTATGCAAATATCCTCTTGCGGATTCTACAAAAAGAGTGTTTCAAAACTGCTCTATGAAAAGAAAGGTTCAACTCTGTCAGTAGAGGGCACACATCACAAACAAGTTTCTGAGAATGCTTCTGCATAGTTGTTACGGGAAGATATTTCCCTTTCCAAAATAGGCCTGAAAGCGCTCCAAATGTCCACTTCCAGATACTACAAAAGGAGTGATTCCAACCTGCTCTATGATAGGGAATGTTCAACTCTGTGTCCTGAATACAAACATCACAAAGATGTTTCTCAGAACGCTGCAGTCTGCAATTTGTATGAATTCCCGCTTCCAGCGAAATCCTCAAAACTAGCCAAATATCCACTTGCAGATTCCACAAAAAGAGCATTTCAAAACTGCTCTATCAAAAGAAAGGTTCAACTTTGTTAGTTGAGTAGATACAGCATAAACAAGTTTCTGAGAATGCTTCTGTCCAGTTTTTATGGGAAGATATTTCCTTTTTCACCTTAGCCCTGAAAGCTCTCCAAATGTCCAGTTCCAGATACTACAAAAGGGGTGTTTCAAGACTGCTCTATGAAAGGGAGTGTTCAACTTTTGACTTGAATGCAAACATCAGAAAGCAGTTTCTCAGAACGCTGCTGTGTGCTTTTTATATGTATTCCCGCTTCCAGCGAAATCCCCAAAGCTAGCCAAATATCCACTTGCAGATTCCAGAAAAAGAGTGTTTCAAAACTGCTCCTTCAAAACGGTGGTTCAATTCTCTTAGTTGAGTACACACATCTCAAATAAGTTTCTGAGAATGCTTCTGTCTAGTTGTTATGGGAAAATATTTCCTTTTCCAACATAGGCCTGAAAGCGCTCCAAATGTCCACTTCCAGATACTACAAAAGCAGTGATCCCAACCTGCTCTATTATAGGGAATGTTCAACTCTGTGTCCTGAATACAAACATCACAAAGATGTTTCTCAGAACGCTGCAGTCTGCAATTTGTATGAATTCCCGCTTCCAACGAAATCCTCAAAACTAGCCAAATATCCACTTGCAGATTCCACAAAAAGAGCGTTTCAAAACTTCTCTATGAAAAGAAAGGTTCTACTCCTTTAGTTGAGGACACACATCACGAGTAAGTTTCTGAGAATGCTTCTGTCTAGTTTTTATGGGAAGATATTTCCTTTTTCACCTTAGGCCGGAAAGTGCTCCAAATGTCCACTTACACACACTACAAAAAGAGTGTTTCAAACCTGCTCTGTGAAAGGGAATGTTCAATTCTGTGACTTGAATGCAATCATCACAAAGAACTTTCTGAGAATGCTGCTGTCTGCTTTTTATATGTAATCCCGTTTCCAACGAAATCCTCAAATCTAGCCAAATAGCCACTTGCAGATTCCACAAAAAGAGTGTTTCAAAACTGTTCTGTCTAAAGAAATGTTCAACTGTGTTAGTTGAGGACACACATCAGAAACTAGTTTCTGAGAATGCTTCTGTCTAGTTGTTATGGGAAGATATTTCCTTTTCCAACGTAGGCCTGAAAGCGCTCCAAATGTCCACTTCCATACACTAAAAAAAGAGTGTTTCAAACCTGCTCTACCAAAGGGAATGTTCTACTCTGTGACTTGAATGCAAACATCCCAAAGAAGTTTCTGAGAATGCTTCTGTCTAGATTTGATCTGAAGACAATCCCGTTTCCAACGAAATCCTCAAGGCTAGGCAAATATCCTCTTGCAGATTCCAGAAAAAGAGTGTTTCAAAACTGCTCCTTCAAAACGGTGGTTCAATTCTCTTAGTTGAGTACACACATCTCAAATAAGTTTCTGAGAATGCTTCTGCCTAGTTGTTACGGGAAGATATTTCCCTTTCCAACATAGGCCTGAAAGTGCTCCAAATGTCCACTTCCAGATACTACAAAAAGAGTGTTTCAAACCTGCTCTACCAAAGGGAATGTTCTACTCTGTGACTTGAATGCAAACATCCCAAAGAAGTTTCTGAGAATGCTTCTGTCTAGATTTTACCTGAAGACAATCCCGTTTCCCACGAAATCCTCAAAGCTATGCAAATATCCTCTTGCAGATTCTACAAAAAGAGTGTTTCAAAACTGCTCTATGAAAAGAAAGGTTCAACTCTGTCAGTAGAGGGCACACATCACAAACAAGTTTCTGAGAATGCTTGTGTCTAGTTGTTATGGGAAGATATTTCCTTTTTCAACATAGGCCTGAAAGCGCTCCAAATGTCCACTTCCAGATACTACAAAAGGAGTGATTCCAACCTGCTCTATGATAGGGAATGTTCAACTCTCTGTCCTGAATACAAACATCACAAAGATGTTTCTCAGAACGCTGCAGTCTGCAATTTGTATGAATTCCCGCTTCCAACGAAATCCTCAAAACTAGCCAAATATCCACTTGCAGATTCCACAAAAAGAGCATTTCAAAACTGCTCTATCAAAAGAAAGGTTCAACTTTGTTAGTTGAGTAGATACAGCATAAACAAGTTTCTGAGAATGCTTCTGTCCAGTTTTTATGGGAAGATATTTCCTTTTTCACCTTAGCCCTGAAAGCGCTCCAAAAGTCCAGTTCCAGATACTACAAAAGGAGTGTTTCAGGACTGCACTATGAAAGGGAGTGTTCAACTTTTGACTTGAATGCAAACATCAGAAAGCAGTTTCTCAGAACGCTGCTGTGTGCTTTTTATATGTATTCCCGCTTCCAGCGAAATCCCCAAAGCTAGCCAAATATCCACTTGCAGATTCCAGAAAAAGAGTGTTTCAAAACTGCTCCTTCAAAACGGTGGTTCAATTCTCTTAGTTGAGTACACACATCTCAAATAAGTTTCTGAGAATGCTTCTGTCTAGTTGTTATGGGAAGATATTTCCTTTTCCAACATAGGCCTGAAAGCGCTCCAAATGTCCACTTCCAGATACTACAAAAGGAGTGATTCAAACCTGCTCTATGATAGGGAATGTTCAACTCTGTGTCCTGAATACAAACATCACAAAGATGTTTCTCAGAACGCTGCAGTCTGCAATTTGTATGAATTCCCGCTTCCAAGGAAATCCTCAAAACTAGCCAAATATCCACTTGCAGATTCCACAAAAAGAGCGTTTCAAAACTTCTCTATGAAAAGAAAGGTTCTACTCCTTTAGTTGAGGACACACATCACGAGTAAGTTTCTGAGAATGCTTCTGTCTAGTTTTTATGGGAAGATATTTCCTTTTTCACCTTAGGCCGGAAAGCGCTCCAAATGTCCACTTACACACACTACAAAAAGAGTGTTTCAAACCTGCTCTGTGAAAGGGAATGTTCAATTCTGTGACTTGAATGCAATCATCACAAAGAACTTTCTGAGAATGCTGCTGACTGCTTTTTATATGTAATCCCGTTTCCAACGAAATCCTCAAATCTAGCCCAATATCCACTTGCAGATTCCACAAAAAGAGTGTTTCAAAACTGTTCTGTCTAAAGAAATGTACAACTGTGTTAGTTGAGGACACACATCAGAAACTAATTTCTGAGAATGCTTCTGTCAAGTTGTTATGGGAAGATATTTCCTTTTCAAACCTAGGCCTGAAAGCGCTCCAATTGTCCACTTCCATATACTAAAAAAAGAGTGTTTCAAACCTGCTCTACCAAAGGGAATGTTCTACTCTGTGACTTGAATGCAAACATCCCAAAGAAGTTTCTGAGAATGCTTCTGTCTAGATTTTATCTGAAGACAATCCCGTTTCCAACGAAATCCTCAAGGCTAGGCAAATATACTCTTGCAGATTCCAGAAAAAGAGTGTTTCAAAACTGCTCCTTCAAAACGGTGGTTCAATTCTCTTAGTTGAGTACACACATCTCAAATAAGTGTCTGAGAATGCTTCTGCCTAGTTGTTACGGGAAGATATTTCCCTTTCCAACATGGGCCTGAAAGCGCTCCAAATGTCCACTTCCAGATACTACAAAAAGAGTGTTTCAAACCTGCTCTACCAAAGGGAATGTTCTACTCTGTGACTTGAATGCAAACATCCCAAAGAAGTTTCTGAGAACGCTTCTGTCTAGATTTTACCTGAAGACAATCCCGTTTCCCACGAAATCCTCAAAGCTATGCAAATATCCTCTTGCGGATTCTACAAAAAGAGTGTTTCAAAACTGCTCTATGAAAAGAAAGGTTCAACTCTGTCAGTAGAGGGCACACATCACAAACAAGTTTCTGAGAATGCTTCTGCATAGTTGTTACGGGAAGATATTTCCCTTTCCAAAATAGGCCTGAAAGCGCTCCAAATGTCCACTTCCAGATACTACAAAAGGAGTGATTCCAACCTGCTCTATGATAGGGAATGTTCAACTCTGTGTCCTGAATACAAACATCACAAAGATGTTTCTCAGAACGCTGCAGTCTGCAATTTGTATGAATTCCCGCTTCCAACGAAATCCTCAAAACTAGCCAAATATCCACTTGCAGATTCCACAAAAAGACCATTTCAAAACTGCTCTATCAAAAGAAAGGTTCAACTTTGTTAGTTGAGTAGATACAGCATAACCAAGTTTCTGAGAATGCTTCTGTCCAGTTTTTATGGGAAGATATTTCCTTTTTCACCTTAGCCCTGAAATCGCTCCAAAAGTCCAGTTCCAGATACTACAAAAGGGGTGTTTCAAGACTGCTCTATGAAAGGGAGTGTTCAACTTTTGACTTGAATGCAAACATCAGAAAGCAGTTTCTCAGAACGCTGCTGTGTGCTTTTTATATGTATTCCCGCTTCCAGCGAAATCCCCAAAGCTAGCCAAATATCCACTTGCAGATTCCAGAAAAAGAGAGTTTCAAAACTGCTCCTTCAAAACGGTGGTTCAATTCTCTTAGTTGAGTACACACATCTCAAATAAGTTTCTGAGAATGCTTCTGTCTAGTTGTTATGGGAAGATATTTCCTTTTCCAACATAGGCCTGAAAGCGCTCCAAATGTCCACTTCCAGATACTACAAAAGGAGTGATTCAAACCTGCTCTATGATAGGGAATGTTCAACTCTGTGTCCTGAATACAAACATCACAAAGATGTTTCTCAGAACGCTGCAGTCTGCAATTTGTATGAATTCCCGCTTCCAACGAAATCCTCAAAACTAGCCAAATATCCACTTGCAGATTCCACAAAAAGAGCGTTTCAAAACTTCTCTATGAAAAGAAAGGTTCTACTCCTTTAGTTGAGGACACACATCACGAGTAAGTTTCTGAGAATGCTTCTGTCTAGTTTTTATGGGAAGATATTTCCTTTTTCACCTTAGGCCGGAAAGCGCTCCAAATGTCCACTTACACACACTACAAAAAGAGTGTTTCAAACCTGCTCTGTGAAAGGGAATGTTCAATTTCTGTGACTTGAATGCAATCATCACAAAGAACTTTCTGAGAATGCTGCTGACTGCTTTTTATATGTAATCCCGTTTCCAACGAAATCCTCAAATCTAGCCAAATAGCCACTTGCAGATTCCACAAAAAGAGTGTTTCAAAACTGTTCTGTCTAAAGAAATGTTCAACTGTGTTAGTTGAGGACACACATCAGAAACTAGTTTCTGAGAATGCTTCTGTCTAGTTGTTATGGGAAGATATTTCCTTTTCCAACGTAGGCCTGAAAGCGCTCCAAATGTCCACTTCCATATACTAAAAAAAGAGTGTTTCAAACCTGCTCTACCAAAGGGAATGTTCTACTCTGTGACATGAATGCAAACATCCCAAAGAAGTTTCTGAGAATGCTTCTGTCTAGATTTGATCTGAAGACAATCCCGTTTCCAACGAAATCCTCAAGGCTAGGCAAATATACTCTTGCAGATTCCAGAAAAAGAGTGTTTCAAAACTGCTCCTTCAA
The DNA here is from genome assembly GCF_000001405.40 of Homo sapiens. Lineage (NCBI taxonomy): Eukaryota > Metazoa > Chordata > Mammalia > Primates > Hominidae > Homo > Homo sapiens. Next base: position 18,994,202 of record NC_000018.10, on the reverse strand, counting down.
AACGGTGGTTCAATTCTCTTAGTTGAGTACACACATCTCAAATAAGTTTCTGAGAATGCTTCTGCCTAGTTGTTACGGGAAGATATTTCCCTTTCCAACATAGGCCTGAAAGCGCTCCAAATGTCCACTTCCAGATACTACAAAAAGAGTGTTTCAAACCTGCTCTACCAAAGGGAATGTTCTGCTCTGTGACTTGAATGCAAACATCCCAAAGAAGTTTCTGAGAATGCTTCTGTCTAGATTTTACCTGAAGACAATCCCGTTTCCCACGAAAACCTCAAAGCTATGCAAATATCCTCTTGCAGATTCTACAAAAAGAGTGTTTCAAAACTGCTCTATGAAAAGAAAGGTTCAACTCTGTCAGTAGAGGGCACACATCACAAACAAGTTTCTGAGAATGCTTGTGTCTAGTTGTTATGGGAAGATATTTCCTTTTCCAACGTAGGCCTGAAAGCGCTCCAAATGTCCACTTCCATATACTAAAAAAAGAGTGTTTCAAACCTGCTCTACCAAAGGGAATGTTCTACTCTGTGACTTGAATGCAAACATCCCAAAGAAGTTTCTGAGAATGCTTCTGTCTAGATTTTATCTGAAGACAATCCCGTTTCCAACGAAATCCTCAAGGCTAGGCAAATATACTCTTGCAGATTCCAGAAAAAGAGTGTTTCAAAACTGCTCCTTCAAAACGGTGGTTCAATTCTCTTAGTTGAGTACACACATCTCAAATAAGCTTCTGAGAATGCTTCTGCCTAGTTGTTACGGGAAGATATTTCCCTTTCCAACATGGGCCTGATAGCGCTCCAAATGTCCACTTCCAGATAGTACAAAAAGAGGGTTTCAAACCTGCTATACCAAAGGGAATGTTCTACTCTGTGACTTGAATGCAAACATCACAAAGAAGTTTCTGAGAATGCTTCTGTCTAGATTTTACCTGAAGACAATCCCGTTTCCCACGAAATCCTCAAAGCTATGCAAATATCCTCTTGCAGATTCTACAAAAAGAGTGTTTCAAAACTGCTCTATGAAAAGAAAGGTTCAACTCTGTCAGTAGAGGGCACACATCACAAACAAGTTTCTGAGAATGCTTCTGCATAGTTGTTACGGGAAGATATTTCCCTTTCCAAAATAGGCCTGAAAGCGCTCCAAATGTCCACTTCCAGATACTACAAAAGGAGTGATTCCAACCTGCTCTATGATAGGGAATGTTCAACTCTGTGTCCTGAATACAAACATCACAAAGATGTTTCTCAGAACGCTGCAGTCTGCAATTTGTATGAATTCCCGCTTCCAACGAAATCCTCAAAACTAGCCAAATATCCACTTGCAGATTCCACAAAAAGACCATTTCAAAACTGCTCTATCAAAAGAAAGGTTAAACTTTGTTAGTTGAGTAGATACAGCATAACCAAGTTTCTGAGAATGCTTCTGTCCAGTTTTTATGGGAAGATATTTCCTTTTTCACCTTAGCCCTGAAATCGCTCCAAAAGTCCAGTTCCAGATACTACAAAAGGGGTGTTTCAAGACTGCTCTATGAAAGGGAGTGTTCAACTTTTGACTTGAATGCAAACATCAGAAAGCAGTTTCTCAGAACGCTGCTGTGTGCTTTTTATATGTATTCCCGCTTCCAGCGAAATCCCCAAAGCTAGCCAAATATCCACTTGCAGATTCCAGAAAAAGAGAGTTTCAAAACTGCTCCTTCAAAACGGTGGTTCAATTCTCTTAGTTGAGTACACACATCTCAAATAAGTTTCTGAGAATGCTTCTGTCCAGTTTTTATGGGAAGATGTTTCCTTTTTCACCTTAGCCCTGAAATCGCTCCAAAAGTCCAGTTCCAGATACTACAACAGGGGTGTTTCAAGACTGCTCTATGAAAGGGAGTGTTCAACTTTTGACTTGAATGCAAACATCAGAAAGCAGTTTCTCAGAACGCTGCTGTGTGCTTTTTATATGTATTCCCGCTTCCAGCGAAATCTCCAAAGCTAGCCAAATATCCACTTGCAGATTCCAGAAAAAGAGAGTTTCAAAACTGCTCCTTCAAAACGGTGGTTCAATTCTCTTAGTTGAGTACACACATCTCAAATAAGTTTCTGAGAATGCTTCTGTCTAGTTGTTATGGGAAGATATTTCCTTTTCCAACATAGGCCTGAAAGCGCTCCAAATGTCCACTTCCAGATACTACAAAAGGAGTGATTCCAACCTGCTCTATGATAGGGAATGTTCAACTCTGTGTCCTGAATACAAACATCACAAAGATGTTTCTCAGAACGCTGCAGTCTGCAATTTGTATGAATTCCCGCTTCCAACGAAATCCTCCAAACTAGCCAAATATCCACTTGCAGATTCCACAAAAAGAGCGTTTCAAAACTTCTCTATGAAAGAAAGGTTCTACTCCTTTAGTTGAGGACACACATCACGAGTAAGTTTCTGAGAATGCTTCTGTCTAGTTTTTATGGGAAGATATTTCCTTTTTCACCTTAGGCCGGTAAGGGTTCCAAATGTCCACTTACACACACTACAAAAAGAGTGTTTCAAACCTGCTCTGTGAAAGGGAATGTTCAATTCTGTGACTTGAATGCAATCATCACAAAGAACTTTCTGAGAATGCTGCTGACTGCTTTTTATATGTAATCCCGTTTCCAACGAAATCCTCAAATCTAGCCAAATAGCCACTTGCAGATTCCACAAAAAGAGTGTTTCAAAACTGTTCTGTCTATAGAAATGTTCAACTGTGTTAGTTGAGGACACACATCAGAAACTAGTTTCTGAGAATGCTTCTGTCTAGTTGTTATGGGAAGATATTTCCTTTTCCAACGTAGGCCTGAAAGCGATCAAAATGTCCACTTCCATATACTAAAAAAAGAGTGTTTCAAACCTGCTCTACCAAAGGGAATGTTCTACTCTGTGACTTGAATGCAAACATCCCAAAGAAGTTTCTGAGAATGCTTCTGTCTAGATTTTATCTGAATACAATCCCGTTTCCAACGAAATCCTCAAGGCTAGGCAAATATACTCTTGCAGATTCCAGAAAAAGAGTGTTTCAAAACTGCTCCTTCAAAACGGTGGTTCAATTCTCTTAGTTGAGTACACACATCTCAAATAAGTTTCTGAGAATGCTTCTGCCTAGTTGTTACGGGAAGATATTTCCCTTTCCAACATAGGCCTGAAAGCGCTCCAAATGTCCACTTCCAGATACTACAAAAAGAGTGTTTCAAACCTGCTCTACCAAAGGGAATGTTCTACTCTGTGACTTGAATGCAAACATCCCAAAGAAGTTTCTGAGAATGCTTCTGTCTAGATTTTACCTGAAGACAATCCCGTTTCCCACGAAATCCTCAAAGCTATGCAAATATCCTCTTGCAGATTCTACAAAAAGAGTGTTTCAAAACTGCTCTATGAAAAGAAAGGTTCAACTCTGTCAGTAGAGGGCACACATCACAAACAAGTTTCTGAGAATGCTTCTGCATAGTTGTTACGGGAAGATATTTCCCTTTCCAAAATAGGCCTGAAAGCGCTCCAAATGTCCACTTCCAGATACTACAAAAGGAGTGATTCCAACCTGCTCTATGATAGGGAATGTTCAACTCTGTGTCCTGAATACAAACATCACAAAGATGTTTCTCAGAACGCTGCAGTCTGCAATTTGTATGAATTCCCGCTTCCAACGAAATCCTCAAAACTAGCCAAATATAAACTTGCAGATTCCACAAAAAGACCATTTCAAAACTGCTCTATCAAAAGAAAGGTTCAACTTTGTTAGTTGAGTAGATACAGCATAACCAAGTTTCTGAGAATGCTTCTGTCCAGTTTTTATGGGAAGATATTTCCTTTTTCACCTTAGCCCTGAAATCGCTCCAAAAGTCCAGGTCCAGATACTACAAAAGGGGTGTTTCAAGACTGCTCTATGAAAGGGAGTGTTCAACTTTTGACTTGAATGCAAACATCAGAAAGCAGTTTCTCAGAAAGCTGCTGTGTGCTTTTTATATGTATTCCCGCTTCCAGCGAAATCCCCAAAGCTAGCCAAATATCCACTTGCAGATTCCAGAAAAAGAGAGTTTCAAAACTGCTCCTTCAAAACGGTGGTTCAATTCTCTTAGTTGAGTACACACATCTCAAATAAGTTTCTGAGAATGCTTGTGTCTAGTTGTTATGGGAAGATATTTCCTTTTTCAACATAGGCCTGAAAGCGCTCCAAATGTCCACTTCCAGATACTACAAAAGGAGTGATTCCAACCTGCTCTATGATAGGGAATGTTCATCTCTGTGTCCTGAATACAAACATCACAAAGATGTTTCTCAGAACGCTGCAGTCTGCAGTTTGTATGAATTCCCGCTTCCAACGAAATCCTCAAAACTAGCCAAATATCCACTTGCAGATTCCACAAAAAGAGCGTTTCAAAACTTCTCTATGAAAAGAAAGGTTCTACTCCTTTAGTTGAGGACACACATCACGAGTAAGTTTCTGAGAATGCTTCTGTCTAGTTTTTATGGGAAGATATTTCCTTTTTCACCTTAGGCCGGAAAGTGCTCCAAATGTCCACTTACACACACTACAAAAAGAGTGTTTCAAACCTGCTCTGTGAAAGGGAATGTTCAATTCTGTGACTTGAATGCAATCATCACAAAGAACTTTCTGAGAATGCTGCTGTCAGCTTTTTATATGTAATCCCGTTTCCAAAGAAATCCTCAAATCTAGCCAAATAACCACTTGCAGATTCCACAAAAAGAGTGTTTCAAAACTGTTCTGTCTAAAGAAATGTTCAACTGTGTTAGTTGAGGACACACATCAGAAACTAGTTTCTGAGAATGCTTCTGTCTAGTTGTTATGGGAAGATATTTCCTTTTCCAACGTAGGCCTGAAAGCGCTCCAAATGTCCACTTCCATATACTAAAAAAAGAGTGTTTCAAACCTGCTCTAACAAAGGGAATGTTCTACTCTGTGAATTGAATGCAAACATCCCAAAGAAGTTTCTGAGAATGCTTCTGTCTAGATTTTATCTGAAGACAATCCCGTTTCCAACGAAATCCTCAAAGCTAGGCAAATATACTCTTGCAGATTCCAGAAAAAGAGTGTTTCAAAACTGCTCCTTCAAAAGGGTGGTTCAATTCTCTTAGTTGAGTACACACATGTCAAATAAGTTTGCTGAGAATGCTTCTGCCTAGTTGTTACGGGAAGATATTTCCCTTTCCAACATAGGCCTGAAAGCGCTCCAAATGTCCACTTCCATATACTAAAAAAAGAGTGTTTCAAACCTGCTCTACCAAAGGGAATGTTCTACTCTGTGACTTGAATAGAAACATCCAAAAGAAGTTTCTGAGAATGCTTCTGTCTAGATTTTAGCTGAAGACAATCCCGTTTCCAACGAAATCCTCAAAGCTAGGCAAATATACTCTAGCAGATTCCAGAAAAAGAGTGTTTCAAAACTGCTCCTTCAAAACGGTGGTTCAATTCTCTTAGTTGAGTACACACATCTCAAATAAGTTTCTGAGAATGCTTCTGTCTAGTTGTTATGGGAAGAATATTTCCTTTTCCAACGTAGGCCTGAAAGCGCTCCAAATGTCCACTTCCAGATACTACAAAAAGAGTGTTTCAAACCTGCTCTACCAAAGGGAATGTTCTACTCTGTGACTTGAATGCAAGCATCCCAAAGAAGTTTCTGAGAATGCTTCTGTCTAGATTTTATCTGAAGACAATCCCGTTTCCAGCGAAATCCTCAAGGCTAGGCAAATATACTCTTGCAGATTCCAGAAAAAGAGGGTTTCAAAACTGCTCCTTCAAAACGGTGGTTCAATTCTCTTAGTTGAGTCCACACATCTCAAATAAGTTTCTGAGAATGCTTCTGCCTAGTTGTTACGGGAAGATATTTCCCTTTCCAACATGGGCCTGAAAGCGCTCCAAATGTCCACTTCCAGATACTACAAAAAGAGTGTTTCAAACCTACTCTACCAAAGGGAATGTTCTACTCTGTGACTTGAATGCAAACATCCCAAAGAAGTTTCTGAGAATGCTTCTGTCTAGATTTTACCTGAAGACAATCCCGTTTCCCACGAAATCCTCAAAGCTATGCAAATATCCTCTTGCAGATTCTACAAAAAGAGTGTTTCGAAACTGCTCTATGAAAAGAAAGGTTCAACTCTGTCAGTAGAGGGCACACATCACAAACAAGTTTCTGAGAATGTTTCTGCATAGTTGTTACGGGAAGATATTTCCCTTTCCAAAATAGGCCTGAAAGCGCTCCAAATGTCCACTTCCAGATACTACAAAAGGAGTGATTCCAACCTGCTCTATGATAGGGAATGTTCAACTCTGTGTCCTGAATACAAACATCACAAAGATGTTTCTCAGAACGCTGCAGTCTGCAATTTGTATGAATTCCCGCTTCCAACGAAATCCTCAAAACTAGCCAAATATCCACTTGCAGATTCCACAAAAAGAGCATTTCAAAACTGCTCTATCAAAAGAAAGGTTCAACTTTGTTAGTTGAGTAGATACAGCATAAACAAGTTTCTGAGAATGCTTCTGTCCAGTTTTTATGGGAAGATATTTCCTTTTTCACCTTAGCCCTGAAAGCGCTCCAAAAGTCCAGTTCCAGATACTACAAAAGGAGTGTTTCAGGACTGCTCTATGAAAGGGAGTGTTCAACTTTTGACTTGAATGCAAACATCAGAAAGCAGTTTCTCAGAACGCTGCTGTGTGCTTTTTATATGTATTCCCGCTTCCAGCGAAATCCCCAAAGCTAGCCAAATATCCACTTGCAGATTCCAGAAAAAGAGTGTTTCAAAACTGCTCCTTCAAAACGGTGGTTCAATTCTCTTAGTTGAGTACACACATCTCAAATAAGTTTCTGAGAATGCTTCTGTCTAGTTGTTATGGGAAGATATTTCCTTTTCCAACATAGGCCTGAAAGCGCTCCAAATGTCCACTTCCAGATACTACAAAAGGAGTGATTCAAACCTGCTCTATGATAGGGAATGTTCAACTCTGTGTCCTGAATACAAACATCACAAAGATGTTTCTCAGAACGCTGCAGTCTGCAATTTGTATGAATTCCCGCTTCCAACGAAATCCTCAAAACTAGCCAAATATCCACTTGCAGATTCCACAAAAAGAGCGTTTCAAAACTTCTCTATGAAAAGAAAGGTTCTACTCCTTTAGTTGAGGACACACATGCACGAGTAAGTTTCTGAGAATGCTTCTGTCTAGTTTTTATGGGAAGATATTTCCTTTTTCACCTTAGGCCGGAAAGTGCTCCAAATGTCCACTTACACACACTACAAAAAGAGTGTTTCAAACCTGCTCTGTGAAAGGGAATGTTCAATTCTGTGACTTGAATGCAATCATCACAAAGAAGTTTCTGAGAATGCTGCTGACTGCTTTTTATATGTAATCCCGTTTCCAACGAAATCCTCAAATCTAGCCAAATAGCCACTTGCAGATTCCACAAAAAGAGTGTTTCAAAACTGTTCTGTCTAAAGAAATGTTCAACTGTGTTAGTTGAGGACACACATCAGAAACTAGTTTCTGAGAATGCTTCTGTCTAGTTGTTATGGGAAGATATTTCGTTTTCCAAAGTAGGCCTGAAAGCGCTCCAAATGTCCACTTCCATATACTAAAAAAAGAGTGTTTCACACCTGCTCTACCAAAGGGAATGTTCTACTCTGTGACTTGAATGCAAACATCCCAAAGAAGTTTCTGAGAATGCTTCTGTCTAGATTTGATCTGAAGACAATCCCGTTCCAACGAAATCCTCAAGGCTAGGCAAATATCCTCTTGCAGATTCCAGAAAAAGAGTGTTTCAAAACTGCTCCTTCAAAACGGTGGTTCAATTCTCTTAGTTGAGTACACACATCTCAAATAAGTTTCTGAGAATGCTTCTGCCTAGTTGTTACGGGAAGATATTTCCCTTTCCAACATAGGCCTGAAAGCGCTCCAAATGTCCACTTCCAGATACTACAAAAAGAGTGTTTCAAACCTGCTCTACCAAAGGGAATGTTCTGCTCTGTGACTTGAATGCAAACATCCCAAAGAAGTTTCTGAGAATGCTTCTGTCTAGATTTTACCTGAAGACAATCCCGTTTCCCACGAAATCCTCAAAGCTATGCAAATATCCTCTTGCAGATTCTACAAAAAGAGTGTTTCAAAACTGCTCTATGAAAAGAAAGGTTCAACTCTGTCAGTAGAGGGCACACATCACAAACAAGTTTCTGAGAATGCTTGTGTCTAGTTGTTATGGGAAGATATTTCCTTTTTCAACATAGGCCTGAAAGCGCTCCAAATGTCCACTTCCAGATACTACAAAAGGAGTGATTCCAACCTGCTCTATGATAGGGAATGTTCAACTCTCTGTCCTGAATACAAACATCACAAAGATGTTTCTCAGAACGCTGCAGTCTGCAATTTGTATGAATTCCCGCTTCCAACGAAATCCTCAAAACTAGCCAAATATCCACTTGCAGATTCCACAAAAAGACCATTTCAAAACTGCTCTATCAAAAGAAAGGTTCAACTTTGTTAGTTGAGTAGATACAGCATAAACAAGTTTCTGAGAATGCTTCTGTCCAGTTTTTATGGGAAGATATTTCCTTTTTCACCTTAGCCCTGAAATCGCTCCAAAAGTCCAGTTCCAGATACTACAAAAGGGGTGTTTCAGGACTGCTCTATGAAAGGGAGTGTTCAACTTTTGACTTGAATGCAAACATCAGAAAGCAGTTTCTCAGAACGCTGCTGTGTGCTTTTTATATGTATTCCCGCTTCCAGCGAAATCCCCCAAAGCTAGCCAAATATCCACTTGCAGATTCCAGAAAAAGAGTGTTTCAAAACTGCTCCTTCAAAACGGTGGTTCAATTCTCTTAGTTGAGTACACACATCTCAAATAAGTTTCTGAGAATGCTTGTGTCTAGTTGTTATGGGAAGATATTTCCTTTTTCAACATAGGCCTGAAAGCGCTCCAAATGTCCACTTCCAGATACTACAAAAGGAGTGATTCCAACCTGCTCTATGATAGGGAATGTTCATCTCTGTGTCCTGAATACAAACATCACAAAGATGTTTCTCAGAACGCTGCAGTCTGCAATTTGTATGAATTCCCGCTTCCAACGAAATCCTCAAAACTAGCCAAATATCCACTTGGAGATTCCACAAAAAGAGCGTTTCAAAACTTCTCTATGAATAGAAAGGTTCTACTCCTTTAGTTGAGGACACACATCACGAGTAAGTTTCTGAGAATGCTTCTCTGTCTAGTTTTTATGGGAAGATATTTCCTTTTTCACCTTAGGCCGGAAAGCGCTCCAAATGTCCACTTACACACACTACAAAAAGAGTGTTTCAAACCTGCTCTGTGAAAGGGGATGTTCAATTCTGTGACTTGAATGCAATCATCACAAAGAACTTTCTGAGAATGCTGCTGTCTGCTTTTTATATGTAATCCCGTTTCCAACGAAATCCTCAAATCTAGCCAAATATCCACTTGCAGATTCCACAAAAAGAGTGTTTCAAAACTGTTCTGTGTAAAGAAAAGTTCAACTGTGTTATTTGAGGACACACATCAGAAACTAGTTTCTGAGAATGCTTCTATCTAGTTGTTATGGGAAGATATTTCCTTTTCCAACGTAGGCCTGAAAGCGCTCCAAATGTCCACTTCCATATACTAAAAAAAGAGTGTTTCAAACCTGCTCTACCAAAGGGAATGTTCTACTCTGTGACTTGAATGCAAACATCCCAAAGAAGTTTCTGAGAATGCTTCTGTCTAGATTTTATCTGAAGACAATCCCGTTTCCAACGAAATCCTCAAGGCTAGGCAAATATATTCTTGCAGAATCCAGAAAAAGAGTGTTTCAAAACTGCTCCTTCAAAACGGTGGTTCAATTCTCTTAGTTGAGTACACACATCTCAAATAAGTTTCTGAGAATGCTTCTGCCTAGTTGTTACGGGAAGATATTTCCCTTTCCAACATGGGCCTGAAAGCGCTCCAAATGTCCACTTCCAGATACTACAAAAAGAGTGTTTCAAACCTGCTCTACCAAAGGGAATGTTCTACTCTGTGACTTGAATGCAAACATCCCAAAGAAGTTTCTGAGAATGCTTCTGTCTAGATTTTACCTGAAGACAATCCCGTTTCCCACGAAATCCTCAAAGCCATGCAAATATCCTCTTGCAGATTCTACAAAAAGAGTGTTTCGAAACTGCTCTATGAAAAGAAAGGTTCAACTCTGTCAGTAGAGGGCACACATCACAAACAAGTTTCTGAGAATGTTTCTGCATAGTTGTTACGGGAAGATATTTCCCTTTCCAAAATAGGCCTGAAAGCGCTCCAAATGTCCACTTCCAGATACTACAAAAGGAGTGATTCCAACCTGCTCTATGATAGGGAATGTTCAACTCTGTGTCCTGAATACAAACATCACAAAGATGTTTCTCAGAACGCTGCAGTCTGCAATTTGTATGAATTCCCGCTTCCAACGAAATCCTCAAAACTAGCCAAATATCCACTTGCAGATTCCACAAAAAGACCATTTCAAAACTGCTCTATCAAAAGAAAGGTTCAACTTTGTTAGTTGAGTAGATACAGCATAAACAAGTTTCTGAGAATGCTTCTGTCCAGTTTTTATGGGAAGATATTTCCTTTTTCACCTTAGCCCTGAAATCGCTCCAAAAGTCCAGTTCCAGATACTACAAAAGGGGTGTTTCAAGACTGCTCTATGAAAGGGAGTGTTCAACTTTTGACTTGAATGCAAACATCAGAAAGCAGTTTCTCAGAACGCTGCTGTGTGCTTTTTATATGTATTCCCGCTTCCAGCGAAATCCCCAAAGCTAGCCAAATATCCACTTGCAGATTCCAGAAAAAGAGAGTTTCAAAACTGCTCCTTCAAAACGGTGGTTCAATTCTCTTAGTTGAGTACACACATCTCAAATAAGTTTCTGAGAATGCTTCTGTCTAGTTGTTATGGGAAGATATTTCCTTTTCCAACATAGGCCTGAAAGCGCTCCAAATGTCCACTTCCAGATACTACAAAAGGAGTGATTCCAACCTGCTCTATGATAGGGAATGTTCAACTCTGTGTCCTGAATACAAACATCACAAAGATGTTTCTCAGAACGCTGCAGTCTGCAATTTGTATGAATTCCCGCTTCCAACGAAATCCTCAAAACTAGCCAAATATCCACTTGGAGATTCCACAAAAAGAGCGTTTCAAAACTTCTCTATGAATAGAAAGGTTCTACTTCTTTAGTTGAGGACACACATCACGAGTAAGTTTCTGAGAATGCTTCTGTCTAGTTTTTATGGGAAGATATTTCCTTTCTCACCTTAGGCCGGAAAGTGCTCCAAATGTCCACTTACACACACTACAAAAAGAGTGCTTCAAACCTGCTCTGTGAAAGGGAATGTTCAATTCTGTGACTTGAATGCAATCATCACAAAGAACTTTCTGAGAATGCTGCTGTCTGCTTTTTATATGTAATCCCGTTTCCAACGAAATCCTCAAATCTAGCCAAATAGCCACTTGCAGATACCACAAAAAGAGTGTTTCAAAACTGTTCTGTCTAAAGAAATGTTCAACTGTGTTAGTTGAGGACACACATCAGAAACTAGTTTCTGAGAATGCTTCTGTCTAGTTGTTATGGGAAGATATTTCCTTTTCCAACGTAGGCCTGAAAGCGCTCCAAATGTCCACTTCCATATACTAAAAAAAGAGTGTTTCAAACCTGCTCTACCAAAGGGAATGTTCTACTCTGTGACTTGAATGCAAACATCCCAAAGGAGTTTCTGAGAATGCTTCTGTCTAGATTTTACCTGAAGACAATCCCGTTTCCCACGAAATCCTCAAAGCTATGCAAATATCCTCTTGCAGATTCTACAAAAAGAGTGTTTCAAAACTGCTCTATGAAAAGAAAGGTTCAACTCTGTCAGTAGAGGGCACACATCACAAACAAGTTTCTGAGAATGCTTGTGTCTAGTTGTTATGGGAAGATATTTCCTTTTTCAACATAGGCCTGAAAGCGCTCCAAATGTCCACTTCCAGATACTACAAAAGGAGTGATTCCAACCTGCTCTATGATAGGGAATGTTCAACTCTCTGTCCTGAATACAAACACCACAAAGATGTTTCTCAGAACGCTGCAGTCTGCAATTTGTATGAATTCCCGCTTCCAACGAAATCCTCAAAACTAGCCAAATATCCACTTGCAGATTCCACAAAAAGACCATTTCAAAACTGCTCTATCAAAAGAAAGGTTCAACTTTGTTAGTTGAGTAGATACAGCATAAACAAGTTTCTGAGAATGCTTCTGTCCAGTTTTTATGGGAAGATATTTCCTTTTTCACCTTAGCCCTGAAAGCGCTCCAAATTTCCAGTTCCAGATACTACAAAAGGGGTGTTTCAAGACTGCTCTATGAAAGGGAGTGTTCAACTTTTGACTTGAATGCAAACATCAGAAAGCAGTTTCTCAGAACGCTGCTGTGTGTTTTTATATGTATTCCCGCTTCCAGCGAAATCCCCAAAGCTAGCCAAATATCCACTTGCAGATTCCAGAAAAAGAGTGTTTCAAAACTGCTCCTTCAAAACGGTGGTTCAATTCTCTTAGTTGAGTACACACATCTCAAATAAGTTTCTGAGAATGCTTCTGTCTAGCTGTTATGGGAGGATATTTCCTTTTCCAACATAGTCCTGAAAGCGCTCCAAACGTCCACTTCCAGATACGACAAAAGCAGTGATTCCAACCTGCTCTATGACAGGGAATGTTCAACTCTGTGTCCTGAATACAAACATCACAAAGACGTTTCTCAGAACGCTGCAGTCTGCAATTTGTATGAATTCCCGATTTCAACGAAATCCTCAAAACTAGCCAAATATCCACTTGCAGATTCCACAAAAAGAGCGTTTCAAAACTTCTCTATGAAAAGAAAGGTTCTACTCCTTTAGTTGAGGACACACATCACGAGTAAGTTTCTGAGAATGCTTCTGTCTAGTTTTTATGGGAAGATATTTCCTTTTTCACCTGAGGCCGGAAAGCGCTCCAAATGTCCACTTACAGACACTACAAAAGAGTGTTTCAAACCTGCTCTGTGAAAGGGAATGTTCAGTTCTGTGACTTGAATGCAATCACCACAAAGAAGTTTCTGAGAATGCTGCTGTCTGCTTTTTATATGTAATCCCGTTTCCAACGAAATCCTCAAATCTAGCCAAATATCCACTTGCAGATTCCTCAAAAAGAGTGTTTCAAAACTGTTCTGTCAAAAGAAAGGTTCAACTCTGTTAGTTGAGGACACACATCAGAAACTAGTTTCTGAGAAGGCTTCTGTCTAGTTGTTATGGGAAGATATTTCCTTTTCCAACGTAGGCCTGAAAGCGCTCCAAATGTCCACTTCCAGATACTACAAAAAGAGTGTTTCAAACCTGCTCTACCAAAGGGAATGTTCTACTCTGTGACTTGAATGCAAACATCCCAAAGAAGTTTCTGAGAATGCTTCTGTCTAGATTTTACCTGAAGACAATCCCGTTTCCCACGAAATCCTCAAAGCTATGCAAATATCCTCTTGCAGATTCTACAAAAAGAGTGTTTCAAAACTGCTCTATGAAAAGAAAGGTTCAACTCTGTCAGTAGAGGGCACACATCACAAACAAGTTTCTGAGAATGCTTCTGCATAGTTGTTACGGGAAGATATTTCCCTTTCCAACATAGGCCTGAAAGCGCTCCAAATGTCCACTTCCAGATACTACAAAAGGAGTGATTCCAACCTGCTCTATGATAGGGAATGTTCAACTCTGTGTCCTGAATACAAACATCACAAAGATGTTTCTCAGAACGCTGCAGTCTGCAATTTGTATGAATTCCCGCTTCCAACGAAATCCTCAAAACTAGCCAAATATCCACTTGCAGATTCCACAAAAAGACCATTTCAAAACTGCTCTATCAAAAGAAAGGTTCAACTTTGTTAGTTGAGTAGATACAGCATAAACAAGTTTCTGAGAATGCTTCTGTCCAGTTTTTATGGGAAGATATTTCCTTTTTCACCTTAGCCCTGAAATCGCTCCAAAAGTCCAGTTCCAGATACTACAAAAGGGGTGTTTCAAGACTGCTCTATGAAAGGGAGTGTTCAACTTTTGACTTGAATGCAAACATCAGAAAGCAGTTTCTCAGAACGCTGCAGTCTGCAATTTGTATGAATTCCCGCTTCCAACGAAATCCTCAAAACTAGCCAAATATCCACTTGCAGATTCCACAAAAAGAGCGTTTCAAAACTTCTCTATGAAAAGAAAGGTTCTACTCCTTTAGTTGAGGACACACAATACGAGTAAGTTTCTGAGAATGCTTCTGTCCAGTTTTTATGGGAAGATATTTCCTTTTTCACCTTAGCCCTGAAAGCGCTCCAAAAGTCCAGTTCCAGATACTACAAAAGGAGTGTTTCAGGACTGCTCTATGAAAGGGAGTGTTCAACTTTTGACTTGAATGCAAACATCAGAAAGCAGTTTCTCAGAACGCTGCTGTGTGCTTTTTATATGTATTCCCGCTTCCAGCGAAATCCCCAAAGCTAGCCAAATATCCACTTGCAGATTCCAGAAAAAGAGTGTTTCAAAACTGCTCCTTCAAAACGGTGGTTCAATTCTCTTAGTTGAGTACACACATCTCAAATAAGTTTCTGAGAATGCTTCTGTCTAGTTGTTATGGGAAGATATTTCCTTTTCCAACATAGGCCTGAAAGCGCTCCAAATGTCCACTTCCAGATACTACAAAAGGAGTGATTCCAACCTGCTCTATGATAGGGAATGTTCAACTCTGTGTCCTGAATACAAACATCACAAAGATGTTTCTCAGAACGCTGCAGTCTGCAATTTGTATGAATTCCCGCTTCCAACGAAATCCTCAAAACTAGCCAAATATCCACTTGCAGATTCCACAAAAAGAGCGTTTCAAAACTTCTCTATGAAAAGAAAGGTTCTACTCCTTTAGTTGAGGACACACATCACGAGTAAGTTTCTGAGAATGCTTCTGTCTAGTTTTTATGGGAAGATATTTCCTTTTTCACCTTAGGCCGGTAAGTGCTCCAAATGTCCACTTACACACACTACAAAAAGAGTGTTTCAAACCTGCTCTGTGAAAGGGAATGTTCAATTCTGTGACTTGAATGCAATCATCACAAAGAACTTTCTGAGAATGCCGCTGTCTGCTTTTTATATGTAATCCCGTTTCCAACGAAATCCTCAAATCTAGCCAAATAGCCACTTGCAGATTCCACAAAAAGAGTGTTTCAAAACTGTTCTGTCTAAAGAAAAGTTCAACTGTGTTAGTTGAGGACACACATCAGAAACTAGTTTCTGAGAATGCTTCTGTCTAGTTGTTATGGGAAGATATTTCCTTTTCCAACGTAGGCCTGAAAGCGCTCCAAATGTCCACTTCCATATACTAAAAAAAGAGTGTTTCAAACCTGCTCTACCAAAGGGAATGTTCTACTCTGTGACTTGAATGCAAACATCCCAAAGAAGTTTCTGAGAATGCTTCTGTCTAGATTTGATCTGAAGACAATCCCGTTTCCAACGAAACCCTCAAGGCTTGGCAAATATCGTCTTGCAGATTCCAGAAAAAGAGTGTTTCAAAACTGCTCCTTCAAAACGGTGGTTCAATTCTCTTAGTTGAGTACACACATCTCAAATAAGTTTCTGAGAATGCTTCTGCCTAGTTGTTACGGGAAGATATTTCCCTTTCCAACATGGGCCTGAAAGCGCTCCAAATGTCCACTTCCAGATACTACAAAAAGAGTGTTTCAAACCTACTCTACCAAAGGGAATGTTCTACTCTGTGACTTGAATGCAAACATCCCAAAGAAGTTTCTGAGAATGCTTCTGTCTAGATTTTACCTGAAGACAATCCCGTTTCCCACGAAATCCTCAAAGCTATGCAAATATCCTCTTGCGGATTCTACAAAAAGAGTGTTTCAAAACTGCTCTATGAAAAGAAAGGTTCAACTCTGTCAGTAGAGGGCACACATCACAAACAAGTTTCTGAGAATGCTTGTGTCTACTTGTTATGGGAAGATATTTCCTTTTTCAACATAGGCCTGAAAGCGCTCCAAATGTCCACTTCCAGATACTACAAAAGGAGTGATTCCAACCTGCTCTATGATAGGGAATGTTCAACTCTGTGTCCTGAATACAAACATCACAAAGATGTTTCTCAGAACGCTGCAGTCTGCAATTTGTATGAATTCCCGCTTCCAACGAATTCCTCAAAACTAACCAAATATCCACTTGCAGACTCCACAAAAAGAGCATTTCAAAACTGCTCTATCAAAAGAAAGGTTCAACTTGTTAGCTGAGTAGTTACAGCATAAACAAGTTTCTGAGAATGCTTCTGTCCAGTTTTTATGGGAAGATATTTCCTTTTTCACCTTAGCCCTGAAATCGCTCCAAAAGTCCAGTTCCAGATACTACAAAAGGGGTGTTTCAAGACTGCTCTATGAAAGGGAGTGTTCAACTTTTGACTTGAATGCAAACATCAGAAAGCAGTTTCTCAGAACGCTGCAGTCTGCAATTTGTATGAATTCCCGCTTCCAACGAAATCCTCAAAACTAGCCAAATACCCACTTGCAGATTCCACAAAAAGAGCGTTTCAAAACTTCTCTATGAAAAGAAAGGTTCTACTCCTTTAGTTGAGGACACACATCACGAGTAAGTTTCTGAGAATGCTTCTGTCTAGTTTTTAAGGGAAGATATTTCCTTTTTCACCTTAGGCCGGAAAGTGCTCCAAATGTCCACTTACACACACTACAAAAAGAGTGTTTCAAACCTGCTCTGTGAAAGGGAATGTTCAATTCTGTGACTTGAATGCAATCATCACAAAGAACTTTCTGAGAATGCTGCTGTCTGTTTTTTTATATGTAATCCCGTTTCCAACGAAATCCTCAAATCTAGCCAAATAGCCACTTGCAGATTCCACAAAAAGAGTGTTTCAAAACTGTTCTGTCTAAAGAAATGTTCAACTGTGTTAGTTGAGGACACACATCAGAAACTAGTTTCTGAGAATGCTTCTGTCTAGTTGTTATGGGAAGATATTTCCTTTTCCAACGTAGGCCTGAAAGCGCTCCAAATGTCCACTTCCAGATACTACAAAAAGAGTGTTTCAAACCTGCTCTACCAAAGGGAATGTTCTACTCTGTGACTTGAATGCAAGCATCCCAAAGAAGTTTCTGAGAATGCTTCTGTCTAGATTTTCTCTGAAGACAATCCCGTTTCCAACGAAATCCTCAAGGCTAGGCAAATATACTCTTGCAGATTCCAGAAAAAGAGTGTTTCAAAACTGCTCCTTCAAAACGGTGGTTCAATTCTCTTAGTTGAGTACACACATCTCAAATAAGTTTCTGAGAATGCTTCTGCCTAGTTGTTACGGGAAGATATTTCCCTTTCCAACATAGGCCTGAAAGCGCTCCAAATGTCCACTTCCAGATACTACAAAAAGAGTGTTTCAAACCTGCTCTACCAAAGGGAATGTTCTACTCTGTGACTTGAATGCAAACATCCCAAAGAAGTTTCTGAGAATGCTTCTGTCTAGATTTTACCTGAAGACAATCCCGTTTCCCACGAAATCCTCAAAGCTATGCAAATATCCTCTTGCAGATTCTACAAAAAGAGTGTTTCAAAACTGCTCCATGAAAAGAAAGGTTCAACTCTGTCAGTAGAGGGCACACATCACAAACAAGTTTCTGAGAATGCTTGTGTCTAGTTGTTATGGGAAGATATTTCCTTTTTCAACATAGGCCTGAAAGCGCTCCAAATGTCCACTTCCAGATACTACAAAAGGAGTGATTCCAACCTGCTCTATGATAGGGAATGTTCAACTCTCTGTCCTGAATACAAACATCACAAAGATGTTTCTCAGAACGCTGCAGTCTGCAATTTGTATGAATTCCCGCTTCCAACGAAATCCTCAAAACTAGCCAAATATCCACTTGCAGATTCCACAAAAAGACCATTTCAAAACTGCTCTATCAAAAGAAAGGTTCAACTTTGTTAGTTGAGTAGATACAGCATAAACAAGTTTCTGAGAATGCTTCTGTCCAGTTTTTATGGGAAGATATTTCCTTTTTCACCTTAGCCCTGAAATCGCTCCAAAAGTCCAGTTCCAGATACTACAAAAGGGGTGTTTCAGGACTGCTCTATGAAAGGGAGTGTTCAACTTTTGACTTGAATGCAAACATCAGAAAGCAGTTTCTCAGAACGCTGCTGTGTGCTTTTTATATGTATTCCCGCTTCCAGCGAAATCCCCAAAGCTAGCCAAATATCCACTTGCAGATTCCAGAAAAAGAGAGTTTCAAAACTGCTCCTTCAAAACGGTGGTTCAATTCTCTTAGTTGAGTACACACATCTCAAATAAGTTTCTGAGAATGCTTCTGTCTAGTTGTTATGGGAAGATATTTCCTTTTCCAACATAGGCCTGAAAGCGCTCCAAATGTCCACTTCCAGATACTACAAAAGGAGTGATTCCAACCTGCTCTATGATAGGGAATGTTCAACTCTGTGTCCTGAATACAAACATCACAAAGATGTTTCTCAGAACGCTGCAGTCTGCAATTTGTATGAATTCCCGCTTCCAACGAAATCCTCCAAACTAGCCAAATATCCACTTGCAGATTCCACAAAAAGAGCGTTTCAAAACTTCTCTATGAAAAGAAAGGTTCTACTCCTTTAGTTGAGGACACACATCACGAGTAAGTTTCCTGAGAATGCTTTCTGTCTAGTTTTTATGGGAAGATATTTCCTTGTTCACCTTAGGCCGGAAAGCGCTCCAAATGTCCACTTACACACACTACAAAAAGAGTGTTTCAAACCTGCTCTGTGAAAGGGAATGTTCAATTCTGTGACTTGAATGCAATCATCACAAAGAAGTTTCTGAGAATGCTGCTGACTGCTTTTTATATGTAATCCCGTTTCCAACGAAATCCTCAAATCTAGCCAAATAGCCACTTGCAGATTCCACAAAAAGAGTGTTTCAAAACTGTTCTGTCTAAAGAAATGTTCAACTGTGTTAGTTGAGGACACACATCAGAAACTAGTTTCTGAGAATGCTTCTGTCTAGTTGTTATGGGAAGATATTTCCTTTTACAACGTAGGCCTGAAAGCGCTCCAAATGTCCACTTCCATATACTTAAAAAAGAGTGTTTCAAACCTGCTCTACCAAAGGGAATGTTCTACTCTGTGACATGAATGCAAACATCCCAAAGAAGTTTCTGAGAATGCTTCTGTCTAGATTTGATCTGAACACAATCCCGTTTCCAACGAAATCCTCAAAGCTAGGCAAATATCCTCTTGCAGATTCCAGAAAAAGAGTGTTTCAAAACTGCTCCTTCAAAACGGTGGTTCAATTCTCTTAGTTGAGTACACACATCTCAAATAAGTTTCTGAGAATGCTTCTGCCTAGTTGTTACGGGAAGATATTTCCCTTTCCAACATGGTCCTGAAAGCGCTCCAAATGTCCACTTCCAGATACTACAAAAAGAGTGTTTCAAACCTGCTCTACCAAAGGGAATGTTCTACTCTGTGACTTGAATGCAAACATCCCAAAGAAGTTTCTGAGAATGCTTCTGTCTAGATTTTACCTGAAGACAATCCCGTTTCCCACGAAATCCTCAAAGCTATGCAAATATCCTCTTGCGGATTCTACAAAAAGAGTGTTTCAAAACTGCTCTATGAAAAGAAAGGTTCAACTCTGTCAGTAGAGGGCACACATCACAAACAAGTTTCTGAGAATGCTTGTGTCTAGTTGTTATGGGAAGATATTTCCTTTTTCAACATAGGCCTGAAAGCGCTCCAAATGTCCACTTCCAGATACTACAAAAGGAGTGATTCCAACCTGCTCTATGATAGGGAATGTTCATCTCCGTGTCCTGAATACAAACATCACAAAGATGTTTCTCAGAACGCTGCAGTCTGCAATTTGTATGAATTCCCGCTTCCAACGAAATCCTCAAAACTAGCCAAATATCCACTTGGAGATTCCACAAAAAGAGCGTTTCAAAACTTCTCTATGAATAGAAAGGTTCTACTCCTTTAGTTGAGGACACACATCACGAGTAAGTTTCTGAGAATGCTTCTGTCTAGTTTTTATGGGAAGATATGTCCTTTTTCACCTTAGGCCGGAAAGCGCTCCAAATGTCCACTTACACACACTACAAAAAGAGTGTTTCAAACCTGCTCTGTGAAAGGGAATGTTCAATTCTGTGACTTGAATGCAATCATCACAAAGAACTTTCTGAGAATGCTGCTGACTGCTTTTTATATGTAATCCCGTTTCCAACGAAATCCTCAAATCTAGCCCAATATCCACTTGCAGATTCCACAAAAAGAGTGTTTCAAAACTGTTCTGTCTAAAGAAATGTACAACTGTGTTAGTTGAGGACACACATCAGAAACTAGTTTCTGAGAATGCTTCTGTCTAGTTGTTATGGGAAGATATTTCCTTTTCCAACGTAGGCCTGAAAGCGCTCCAAATGTCCACTTCCATATACTAAAAAAAGAGTGTTTCAAACCTGCTCTACCAAAGGGAATGTTCTACTCTGTGACTTGAATGCAAACATCCCAAAGAAGTTTCTGAGAATGCTTCTGTCTAGATTTTATCTGAAGACAATCCCGTTTCCAACGAAATCCTCAAGTCTAGGCAAATATTCTCTTGCAGATTCCAGAAAAAGAGTGTTTCAAAACTGCTCCTTCAAAACGGTGGTTCAGTTCTCTTAGTTGAGTACACACATCTCAAATAAGTTTCTGAGAATGCTTCTGCCTAGTTGTTACGGGAAGATATTTCCCTTTCCAACATGGTCCTGAAAGCGCTCCAAATGTCCACTTCCAGATACTACAAAAAGAGTGTTTCAAACCTGCTCTACCAAAGGGAATGTTCTACTCTGTGACTTGAATGCAAACATCCCAAAGAAGTTTCTGAGAATGCTTCTGTCTAGATTTTACCTGAAGACAATCCCGTTTCCCACGAAATCCTCAAAGCTATGCAAATATCCTCTTGCGGATTCTACAAAAAGAGTGTTTCAAAACTGCTCTATGAAAAGAAAGGTTCAACTCTGTCAGTAGAGGGCACACAACACAAACAAGTTTCTGAGAATGCTTCTGCATAGTTGTTACGGGAAGATATTTCCCTTTCCAAAATAGGCCTGAAAGCGCTCCAAATGTCCACTTCCAGATACTACAAAAGGAGTGATTCCAACCTGCTCTATGATAGGGAATGTTCAACTCTGTGTCCTGAATACAAACATCACAAAGATGTTTCTCAGAACGCTGCAGTCTGCAATTTGTATGAATTCCCGCTTCCAACGAAATCCTCAAAACTAGCCAAATATCCACTTGCAGATTCCACAAAAAGACCATTTCAAAACTGCTCTATCAAAAGAAAGGTTCAACTTTGTTAGTTGAGTAGATACAGCATAACCAAGTTTCTGAGAATGCTTCTGTCCAGTTTTTATGGGAAGATATTTCCTTTTTCACCTTAGCCCTGAAATCGCTCCAAAAGTCCAGGTCCAGATACTACAAAAGGGGTGTTTCAAGACTGCTCTATGAAAGGGAGTGTTCAACTTTTGACTTGAATGCAAACATCAGAAAGCAGTTTCTCAGAACGCTGCTGTGTGCTTTTTATATGTATTCCCGCTTCCAGCGAAATCCCCAAAGCTAGCCAAATATCCACTTGCAGATTCCAGAAAAAGAGTGTTTCAAAACTGCTCCTTCAAAACGGTGGTTCAATTCTCTTAGTTGAGTACACACATCTCAAATAAGTTTCTGAGAATGCTTCTGTCTAGTTGTTATGGGAAGATATTTCCTTTTCCAACATAGGCCTGAAAGCGCTCCAAATGTCCACTTCCAGATACTACAAAAGGAATGATTCAAACCTGCTCTATGATAGGGAATGTTCAACTCTGTGTCCTGAATACAAACATCACAAAGATGTTTCTCAGAACGCTGCAGTCTGCAATTTGTATGAATTCCCGCTTCCAACGAAATCCTCAAAACTAGCCAAATATCCACTTGCAGATTCCACAAAAAGAGCGTTTCAAAACTTCTCTATGAAAAGAAAGGTTCTACTCCTTTAGTTGAGGACACACATCACGAGTAAGTTTCTGAGAATGCTTCTGTCTAGTTTTTATGGGAAGATATTTCCTTTTTCACCTTAGGCCGGAAAGTGCTCCAAATGTCCACTTACACACACTACAAAAAGAGTGTTTCAAACCTGCTCTGTGAAAGGGAATGTTCAATTCTGTGACTTGAATGCAATCATCACAAAGAACGTTCTGAGAATGCTGCTGTCTGCTTTTTATATGTAATCCCGTTTCCAACGAAATCCTCAAATCTAGCCAAATATCCACTTGCAGATTCCACAAAGAGAGTGTTTCAAAACTGTTCTGTCTAAAGAAATGTTCAACTGTGTTAGTTGAGGACACACATCAGAAACTAGTTTCTGAGAATGCTTCTGTCTAGTTGTTATGGGAAGATATTTCCTTTTCCAACGTAGGCCTGAAAGCGCTCCAAATGTCCACTTCCATATACTAAAAAAAGAGTGTTTCAAACCTGCTCTACCAAAGGGAATGTTCTACTCTGTGACTTGAATGCAGACATACCAAAGAAGTTTCTGAGAATGCTTCTGTCTAGATTGGATCTGAAGACAATCCCGTTTCCAACGAAATCCTCAAATCTATGCAAATATCCTCTTGCAGATTCCAGAAAAAGAGTGTTTCAAAACTGCTCCTTCAAAACGGTGGTTCAATTCTCTTAGTTGAGTACACACATCTCAAATAAGTTTCTGAGAATGCTTCTGCCTAGTTGTTACGGGAAGATATTTCCCTTTCCAACATAGGCCTGAAAGCGCTCCAAATGTCCACTTCCAGATACTACAAAAAGAGTTTTTCAAACCTGCTCCTTCAAAAGGGTGGTTCAATTCTCTTAGTTCAGTACACACATCTCAAATAAGTTTCTGAGAATGCTTCTGCCTAGTTGTTACGGGAAGATATTTCCCTTTCCAACATAGGCCTGAAAGCGCTCCAAATGTCCACTTCCAGATACTACAAAAAGAGTGTTTCAAACCTGCTCTACCAAAGGGAATGTTCTACTCTGTGACTTGAATGCAAACAGCCCGAAGAATTTTCTGAGAATGCTTCTGTCTAGATTTTACCTGAAGACAATCCCGTTTCCCACGAAATCCTCAAAGCTATGCAAATATCCTCTTGCAGATTCTACAAAAAGAGTGTTTCGAAACTGCTCTATGAAAAGCAAGGTTCAACTCTGTCAGTAGAGGGCACACATCACAAACAAGTTTCTGAGAATGCTTGTGTCTACTTGTTATGGGAAGATATTTCCTTTTTCAACATAGGCCTGAAAGCGCTCGAAATGGCCACTTCCAGATACTACAAAAGGAGTGATTCCAACCTGCTCTATGATAGGGAATGTTCAACTCTGTGTCCTGAATACAAACATCACAAAGATGTTTCTCAGAACGCTGCAGTCTGCAATTTGTATGAATTCCCGCTTCCAACGAAATCCTCAAAACTAGCCAAATATCCACTTGCAGATTCCACAAAAAGAGCATTTCAAAACTGCTCTATCAAAAGAAAGGTTCAACTTTGTTAGTTGAGTAGATACAGCATAAACAAGTTTCTGAGAATGCTTCTGTCCAGTTTTTATGGGAAGATATTTCCTTTTTCACCTTAGCCCTGAAAGCGCTCCAAAAGTCCAGTTCCAGATACTACAAAAGGAGTGTTTCAGGACTGCTCTATGAAAGGGAGTGTTCAACTTTTGACTTGAATGCAAACATCAGAAAGCAGTTTCTCAGAACGCTGCTGTGTGCTTTTTATATGTATTCCCGCTTCCAGCGAAATCCCCAAAGCTAGCCAAATATCCACTTGCAGATTCCAGAAAAAGAGTGTTTCAAAACTGCTCCTTCAAAACGGTGGTTCAATTCTCTTAGTTGAGTACACACATCTCAAATAAGTTTCTGAGAATGCTGCTGTGTGCTTTTTATATGTATTCCCGCTTCCAGCGAAATACCCAAAGCTAGCCAAATATCCACTTGCAGATTCCAGAAAAAGAGTGTTTCAAAACTGCTCCTTCAAAACGGTGGTTCAATTCTCTTAGTTGAGTACACACATCTCAAATAAGTTTCTGAGAATGCTTCTGTCTAGTTGTTATGGGAAGATATTTCCTTTTCCAACATAGGCCTGAAAGCGCTCCAAATGTCCACTTCCAGATACTACAAAAGGAGTGATTCAAACCTGCTCTATGATAGGGAATGTTCAACTCTGTGTCCTGAATACAAACATCACAAAGATGTTTCTCAGAACGCTGCAGTCTGCAATTTGTATGAATTCCCGCTTCCAACGAAATCCTCAAAACTAGCCAAATATCCACTTGCAGATTCCACAAAAAGACCATTTCAAAACTGCTCTATCAAAAGAAAGGTTCAACTTTGTTAGTTGAGTAGATACAGCATAAACAAGTTTCTGAGAATGCTTCTGTCCAGTTTTTATGGGAAGATATTTCCTTTTTCACCTTAGCCCTGAAATCGCTCCAAAAGTCCAGTTCCAGATACTACAAAAGGGGTGTTTCAAGACTGCTCTATGAAAGGGAGTGTTCAACTTTTGACTTGAATGCAAACATCAGAAAGCAGTTTCTCAGAACGCTGCTGTGTGCTTTTTATATGTATTCCCGCTTCCAGCGAAATCCCCAAAGCTAGCCAAATATCCACTTGCAGATTCCAGAAAAAGAGTGTTTCAAAACTGCTCCTTCAAAACGGTGGTTCAATTCTCTTAGTTGAGTACACACATCTCAAATAAGTTTCTGAGAATGCTTCTGTCTAGTTGTTATGGGAAGATATTTCCTTTTCCAACATAGGCCTGAAAGCGCTCCAAATGTCCACTTCCAGATACTACAAAAGGAGTGATTCCAACCTGCTCTATGATAGGGAATGTTCAACTCTGTGTCCTGAATACAAACATCACAAAGATGTTTCTCAGAACGCTGCAGTCTGCAATTTGTATGAATTCCCGCTTCCAACGAAATCCTCAAAACTAGCCAAATATCCACTTGCAGATTCCACAAAAAGACCATTTCAAAACTGCTCTATCAAAAGAAAGGTTCAACTTTGTTAGTTGAGTAGATACAGCATAAACAAGTTTCTGAGAATGCTTCTGTCCAGTTTTTATGGGAAGATATTTCCTTTTTCACCTTAGCCCTGAAATCGCTCCAAAAGTCCAGTTCCAGATACTACAAAAGGGGTGTTTCAGGACTGCTCTATGAAAGGGAGTGTTCAACTTTTGACTTGAATGCAAACATCAGAAAGCAGTTTCTCAGAACGCTGCTGTGTGCTTTTTATATGTATTCCCGCTTCCAGCGAAATCCCCAAAGCTAGCCAAATATCCACTTGCAGATTCCAGAAAAAGAGAGTTTCAAAACTGCTCCTTCAAAACGGTGGTTCAATTCTCTTAGTTGAGTACACACATCTCAAATAAGTTTCTGAGAATGCTTCTGTCTAGTTGTTATGGGAAGATATTTCCTTTTCCAACATAGGCCTGAAAGCGCTCCAAATGTCCACTTCCAGATACTACAAAAGGAGTGATTCAAACCTGCTCTATGATAGGGAATGTTCAACTCTGTGTCCTGAATACAAACATCACAAAGATGTTTCTCAGAACGCTGCAGTCTGCAATTTGTATGAATTCCCGCTTCCAACGAAATCCTCAAAACTAGCCAAATATCCACTTGCAGATTCCACAAAAAGACCATTTCAAAACTGCTCTATCAAAAGAAAGGTTCAACTTTGTTAGTTGAGTAGATACAGCATAAACAAGTTTCTGAGAATGCTTCTGTCCAGTTTTTATGGGAAGATATTTCCTTTTTCACCTTAGCCCTGAAATCGCTCCAAAAGTCCAGTTCCAGATACTACAAAAGGGGTGTTTCAAGACTGCTCTATGAAAGGGAGTGTTCAACTTTTGACTTGAATGCAAACATCAGAAAGCAGTTTCTCAGAACGCTTGCTGTGTGCTTTTTATATGTATTCCCGCTTCCAGCGAAATCCCCAAAGCTAGCCAAATATCCACTTGCAGATTCCAGAAAAAGAGTGTTTCAAAACTGCTCCTTCAAAACGGTGGTTCAATTCTCTTAGTTGAGTACACACATCTCAAATAAGTTTCTGAGAATGCTTCTGTCTAGTTGTTATGGGAAGATATTTCCTTTTCCAACATAGGCCTGAAAGCGCTCCAAATGTCCACTTCCAGATACTACAAAAGGAGTGATTCAAACCTGCTCTATGATAGGGAATGTTCAACTCTGTGTCCTGAATACAAACATCACAAAGATGTTTCTCAGAACGCTGCAGTCTGCAATTTGTATGAATTCCCGCTTCCAACGAAATCCTCCAAACTAGCCAAATATCCACTTGCAGATTCCACAAAAAGAGCGTTTCAAAACTTCTCTATGAAAAGAAAGGTTCTACTCCTTTAGTTGAGGACACACATCACGAGTAAGTTTCTGAGATTGCTTCTGTCTAGTTTTTATGGGAAGATATTTCCTTTTTCACCTTAGGCCGGAAAGTGCTCCAAATGTCCACTTACACACACTACAAAAAGAGTGTTTCAAACCTGCTCTGTGAAAGGGAATGTTCAATTCTGTGACTTGAATGCAATCATCACAAAGAACTTTCTGAGAATGCTGCTGTCTGCTTTTTATATGTAATCCCGTTTCCAACGAAATCCTCAAATCTAGCCAAATAGCCACTTGCAGATTCCACAAAAAGAGTGTTTCAAAACTGTTCTGTCTAAAGAAATGTTCAACTGTGTTAGTTGAGGACACACATCAGAAACTAGTTTCTGAGAATGCTTCTGTCTAGTTGTTATGGGAAGATATTTCCTTTTCCAACGTAGGCCTGAAAGCGCTCCAAATGTCCACTTCCATATACTAAAAAAAGAGTGTTTCAAACCTGCTCTACCAAAGGGAATGTTCTACTCTGTGACTTGAATGCAAACATCCCAAAGAAGTTTCTGAGAATGCTTCTGTCTAGATTTTATCTGAAGACAATCCCGTTTCCAACGAAATCCTCAAGGCTAGGCAAATATACTCTTGCAGATTCCAGAAAAAGAGGGTTTCAAAACTGCTCCTTCAAAACGGTGGTTCAATTCTCTTAGTTGAGTACACACATCTCAAATAAGTTTCTGAGAATGCTTCTGCCTAGTTGTTACGGGAAGATATTTCCCTTTCCAACATGGGCCTGAAAGCGCTCCAAATGTCCACTTCCAGATACTACAAAAAGAGTGTTTCAAACCTGCTCTACCAAAGGGAATGTTCTACTCTGTGACTTGAATGCAAACATCCCAAAGAAGTTTCTGAGAATGCTTCTGTCTAGATTTTTCCTGAAGACAATCCCGTTTCCCACGAAATCCTCAAAGCTATGCAAATATCCTCTTGCAGATTCTACAAAAAGAGTGTTTCAAAACTGCTCTATGAAAAGAAAGGTTCAACTCTGTCAGTAGAGGGCACACATCACAAACAAGTTTCTGAGAATGCTTGTGTCTAGTTGTTATGGGAAGATATTTCCTTTTTCAACATAGGCCTGAAAGCGCTCCAAATGTCCACTTCCAGATACTACAAAAGGAGTGATTCCAACCTGCTCTATGATAGGGAATGTTCAACTCTGTGTCCTGAATACAAACATCACAAAGATGTTTCTCAGAACGCTGCAGTCTGCAATTTGTATGTATTCCAGCTTCCAACGAAATCCTCAAATCTAGCCAAATATCCACTTGCAGATTCCACAAAAAGAGCATTTCAAAACTGCTCTATCAAAAGAAAGGTTCAACTTTTTTAGTAGAGTAGATACAGCATGAACAAGTTTCTGAGAATGCTTCTGTCCAGTTTTTATGGGAAGATATTTCCTTTTTCACCTTAGCCCTGAAATCGCTCCAAAAGTCCAGTTCCAGATACTACAAAAGGGGTGTTTCAGGACTGCTCTATGAAAGGGAGTGTTCAACTTTTGACTTGAATGCAAACATCAGAAAGCAGTTTCTCAGAACGCTGCTGTGTGCTTTTTATATGTATTCCCGCTTCCAGCGAAATCCCCAAAGCTAGCCAAATATCCACTTGCAGATTCCAGAAAAAGAGAGTTTCAAAACTGCTCCTTCAAAACGGTGGTTCAATTCTCTTAGTTGAGTACACACATCTCAAATAAGTTTCTGAGAATGCTTCTGTCTAGTTGTTATGGGAAGATATTTCCTTTTCCAACATAGGCCTGAAAGCGCTCCAAATGTCCACTTCCAGATACTACAAAAGGAGTGATTCAAACCTGCTACTATGATAGGGAATGTTCAACTCTGTGTCCTGAATACAAACATCACAAAGATGTTTCTCAGAACGCTGCAGTCTGCAATTTGTATGAATTCCCGCTTCCAACGAAATCCTCAAAACTAGCCAAATATCCACTTGCAGATTCCACAAAAAGAGCATTTCAAAACTGCTCTATCAAAAGAAAGGTTCAACATTGTTAGTTGAGTAGATACAGCATAAACAAGTTTCTGAGAATGCTTCTGTCCAGTTTTTATGGGAAGATATTTCCTTTTTCACCTTAGCCCTGAAAGCGCTCCAAATGTCCAGTTCCACATACTACAAAAGGGGTGTTTCAAGACTGCTCTATGAAAGGGAGTGTTCAACTTTTGACTTGAATGCAAACATCAGAAAGCAGTTTCTCAGAACGCTGCTGTGTGCTTTTTATATGTATTCCCGCTTCCAGCGAAATCCCCAAAGCTAGCCAAATATCCACTTGCAGATTCCAGAAAAAGAGTGTTTCCAAACTGCTCCTTCAAAACGGTGGTTCAATTCTCTTAGTTGAGTACACACATCTCAAATAAGTTTCTGGGAATGCTTGTGTCTAGTTGTTATGGGAAGATATTTCCTTTTTCAACATAGGCCTGAAAGCGCTCCAAATGTCCACTTCCAGATACTACAAAAGGAGTGATTCCAACCTGCTCTATGATAGGGAATGTTCAACTCTCTGTCCTGAATACAAACACCACAAAGATGTTTCTCAGAACGCTGCAGTCTGCAATTTGTATGAATTCCCGCTTCCAACGAAATCCTCAAAACTAGCCAAATATCCACTTGCAGATTCCACAAAAAGAGCATTTCAAAACTGCTCTATCAAAAGAAAGGTTCAAATTTGTTAGTTGAGTAGATACAGCATAAACAAGTTTCTGAGAATGCTTCTGTCCAGTTTTTATGGGAAGATATTTCCTTTTTCACCTTAGCCCTGAAAGCGCTCCAAAAGTCCAGTTCCAGATACTACAAAAGGAGTGTTTCAGGACTGCTCTATGAAAGGGAGTGTTCAACTTTTGACTTGAATGCAAACATCAGAAAGCAGTTTCTCAGAACGCTGCTGTGTGCTTTTTATATGTATTCCCGCTTCCAGCGAAATCCCCAAAGCTAGCCAAATATCCACTTGCAGATTCCAGAAAAAGAGTGTTTCAAAACTGCTCCTTCAAAACGGTGGTTCAATTCTCTTAGTTGAGTACACACATCTCAAATAAGTTTCTGAGAATGCTTGTGTCTAGTTGTTATGGGAAGATATTTCCTTTTTCAACATAGGCCTGAAAGCGCTCCAAATGTCCACTTCCAGATACTACAAAAGGAGTGATTCCAACCTGCTCTATGATAGGGAATGTTCAACTCTGTGTCCTGAATACAAACATCACAAAGATGTTTCTCAGAACGCTGCAGTCTGCAATTTGTATGAATTCCCGCTTCCAACGAAATCCTCAAAACTAGCCAAACATCCACTTGCAGATTCCACAAAAAGAGCGTTTCAAAACTTATCTATGAAAAGAAAGGTTCTACTTCTTTAGTTGAGGACACACATCACGAGTAAGTTCCTGAGAATGCTTTCTGTCTAGTTTTTATGGGAAGATATTTCCTTTTTCACCTTAGGCCGGTAAGTGCTCCAAATGTCCACTTACACACACTACAAAAAGAGTGTTTCAAACCTGCTCTGTGAAAGGGAATGTTCAATTCTGTGACTTGAATGCAATCATCACAAAGAACTTTCTGAGAATGCTGCTGACTGCTTTTTATATGTAATCCCGTTTCCAACGAAATCCTCAAATCTAGCCAAATAGCCACTTGCAGATTCCACAAAAAGAGTGTTTCAAAACTGTTCTGTCTAAAGAAATGTTCAACTGTGTTAGTTGAGGACACACATCAGAAACTAGTTTCTGAGAATGCTTCTGTCTAGTTGTTATGGGAAGATATTTCCTTTTCCAACGTAGGCCTGAAAGCGATCAAAATGTCCACTTCCATATACTAAAAAAAGAGTGTTTCAAACCTGCTCTACCAAAGGGAATGTTCTACTCTGTGACTTGAATGCAAACATCCCAAAGAAGTTTCTGAGAATGCTTCTGTCTAGATTTTCTCTGAAGACAATCCCGTTTCCAACGAAATCCTCAAGGCTAGGCAAATATACTCTTGCAGATTCCAGAAAAAGAGTGTTTCAAAACTGCTCCTTCAAAACGGTGGTTCAATTCTCTTAGTTGAGTACACACATCTCAAATAAGTTTCTGAGAATGCTTCTGCCTAGTTGCTACAGGAAGATATTTCCTTTTCCAACATGGGCCTGAAAGTGCTCCAAATGTCCACTTCCAGATACTACAAAAAGAGTGTTTCAAACCTGCTCTACCAAAGGGAATGTTCTACTCTGTGACTTGAATGCAAACATCCCAAAGAAGTTTCTGAGAATGCTTCTGTCTAGATTTTACCTGAAGACAATCCCGTTTCCCACGAAATCCTCAAAGCTATGCAAATATCCTCTTGCAGATTCTACAAAAAGAGTGTTTCAAAACTGCTCTATGAAAAGAAAGGTTCAACTCTGTCAGTAGAGGGCACACATCACAAACAAGTTTCTGAGAATGCTTGTGTCTAGTTGTTATGGGAAGATATTTCCTTTTTCAACATAGGCCTGAAAGCGCTCCAAATGTCCACTTCCAGATACTACAAAAGGAGTGATTCCAACCTGCTCTATGATAGGGAATGTTCATCTCTGTGTCTTGAATACAAACATTTCAAAGATGTTTCTCAGAACGCTGCAGTCTGCAATTTGTATGAATTCCCACTTCCAACGAAATCCTCAAAACTAGCCAAATATCCACTTTGAGATTCCACAAAAAGAGCGTTTCAAAACTTCTCTATGAATAGAAAGGTTCTACTCCTTTAGTTGAGGACACACATCACGAGTAAGTTTCTGAGAATGCTTCTCTCTAGTTTCTATGGGAAGATATTTCCTTTTTCACCTTAGGCCGGAAAGCGCTCCAAATGTCCACTTACACACACTACAAAAAGAGTGTTTCAAACCTGCTCTGTGAAAGGGAATGTTCAATTCTGTGACTTGAATGCAATCATCACAAAGAACTTTCTGAGAATGCTGCTGACTGCTTTTTATATGTAATCCCGTTTCCAACGAAATCCTCAAATCTAGCCAAATAGCCACTTGCAGATTCCACAAAAAGAGTGTTTCAAAACTGTTCTGTCTAAAGAAATGTTCAACTGTGTTAGTTGAGGACACACATCAGAAACTAGTTTCTGAGAATGCTTCTGTCTAGTTGTTATGGGAAGATATTTCCTTTTCCAACGTAGGCCTGAAAGCGCTCCAAATGTCCACTTCCATATACTAAAAAAAGAGTGTTTCACACCTGCTCTACCAAAGGGAATGTTCTACTCTGTGACTTGAATGCAAACATCCCAAAGAAGTTTCTGAGAATGCTTCTGTCTAGATTTGATCTGAAGACAATCCCGTTTCCAACGAAATCCTCAAGGCTAGGCAAATATCCTCTTGCAGATTCCAGAAAAAGAGTGTTTCAAAACTGCTCCTTCAAAACGGTGGTTCAATTCTCTTAGTTGAGTACACACATCTCAAATAAGTTTCTGAGAATGCTTCTGCCTAGTTGTTACGGGAAGATATTTCCCTTTCCAACATAGGCCTGAAAGCGCTCCAAATGTCCACTTCCAGATACTACAAAAAGAGTGTTTCAAACCTGCTCTACCAAAGGGAATGTTCTACTCTGTGACTTGAATGCAAACATCCCAAAGAAGTTTCTGAGAATGCTTCTGTCTAGATTTTACCTGAAGACAATCCCGTTTCCCACGAAATCCTCAAAGCTATGCAAATATCCTCTTGCAGATTCTACAAAAAGAGTGTTTCAAAACTGCTCTATGAAAAGAAAGGTTCAACTCTGTCAGTAGAGGGCACACATCACAAACAAGTTTCTGAGAATGCTTGTGTCTAGTTGTTATGGGAAGATATTTCCTTTTTCAACATAGTCCTGAAAGCGCTCCAAATGTCCACTTCCAGATACTACAAAAGGAGTGATTCCAACCTGCTCTATGATAGGGAATGTTCAACTCTCTGTCCTGAATACAAACATCACAAAGATGTTTCTCAGAACGCTGCAGTCTGCAATTTGTATGAATTCCCGCTTCCAACGAAATCCTCAAAACTAGCCAAATATCCACTTGCAGATTCCACAAAAAGAGCATTTCAAAACTGCTCTATCAAAAGAAAGGTTCAACTTTGTTAGTTGAGTAGATACAGCATAAACAAGTTTCTGAGAATGCTTCTGTCCAGTTTTTATGGGAAGATATTTCCTTTTTCACCTTAGCCCTGAAATCGCTCCAAAAGTCCAGTTCCAGATACTACAAAAGGGGTGTTTCAGGACTGCTCTATGAAAGGGAGTGTTCAACTTTTGACTTGAATGCAAACATCAGAAAGCAGTTTCTCAGAACGCTGCTGTGTGCTTTTTATATGTATTCCCGCTTCCAGCGAAATCCCCAAAGCTAGCCAAATATCCACTTGCAGATTCCAGAAAAAGAGAGTTTCAAAACTGCTCCTTCAAAACGGTGGTTCAATTCTCTTAGTTGAGTACACA
This sequence comes from Homo sapiens, assembly GCF_000001405.40. Taxonomy (NCBI): domain Eukaryota; kingdom Metazoa; phylum Chordata; class Mammalia; order Primates; family Hominidae; genus Homo; species Homo sapiens. The sequence continues at coordinate 18,961,272 of NC_000018.10, read as the reverse complement.
CATCTCAAATAAGTTTCTGAGAATGCTTCTGTCTAGTTGTTATGGGAAGATATTTCCTTTTCCAACATAGGCCTGAAAGCGCTCCAAATGTCCACTTCCAGATACTACAAAAGGAGTGATTCCAACCTGCTCTATGATAGGGAATGTTCAACTCTGTGTCCTGAATACAAACATCACAAAGATGTTTCTCAGAACGCTGCAGTCTGCAATTTGTATGAATTCCCGCTTCCAACGAAATCCTCAAAACTAGCCAAATATCCACTTGCAGATTCCACAAAAAGAGCGTTTCAAAACTTCTCTATAAAAAGAAAGGTTCTACTCCTTTAGTTGAGGACACACATCACGAGTAAGTTTCTGAGAATGCTTCTGTCTAGTTTTTATGGGAAGATATTTCCTTTTTCACCTTAGGCCGGTAAGTGCTCCAAATGTCCACTTACACACACTACAAAAAGAGTGTTTCAAACCTGCTCTGTGAAAGGGAATGTTCAATTCTGTGACTTGAATGCAATCATCACAAAGAACTTTCTGAGAATGCTGCTGACTGCTTTTTATATGTAATCCCGTTTCCAACGAAATCCTCAAATCTAGCCAAATAGCCACTTGCAGATTCCACAAAAAGAGTGTTTCAAAACTGTTCTGTCTAAAGAAATGTTCAACTGTGTTAGTTGAGGACACACATCAGAAACTAGTTTCTGAGAATGCTTCTGTCTAGTTGTTATGGGAAGATATTTCCTTTTCCAACGTAGGCCTGAAAGCGCTCCAAATGTCCACTTCCAGATACTACAAAAAGAGTGTTTCAAACCTGCTCTACCAAAGGGAATGTTCTACTCTGTGACTTGAATGCAAGCATCCCAAAGAAGTTTCTGAGAATGCTTCTGTCTAGATTTTCTCTGAAGACAATCCCGTTTCCAACGAAATCCTCAAGGCTAGGCAAATATACTCTTGCAGATTCCAGAAAAAGAGTGTTTCAAAACTGCTCCTTCAAAACGGTGGTTCAATTCTCTTAGTTGAGTACACACATCTCAAATAAGTTTCTGAGAATGCTTCTGCCTAGTTGTTACGGGAAGATATTTCCCTTTCCAACATGGGCCTGAAAGCGCTCCAAATGTCCACTTCCAGATACTACAAAAAAAGGGTTTCAAACCTGCTCTACCAAAGGGAATGTTCTACTCTGTGACTTGAATGCAAACATCCCAAAGAAGTTTCTGAGAATGCTTCTGTCTAGATTTTACCTGAAGACAATCCCGTTTCCCACGAAATCCTCAAAGCTATGCAAATATCCTCTTGCAGATTCTACAAAAAGAGTGTTTCAAAACTGCTCTATGAAAAGAAAGGTTCAACTCTGTCAGTAGAGGGCACACATCACAAACAAGTTTCTGAGAATGCTTGTGTCTAGTTGTTATGGGAAGATATTTCCTTTTTCAACATAGGCCTGAAAGCGCTCCAAATGTCCACTTCCAGATACTACAAAAGGAGTGATTCCAACCTGCTCTATGATAGGGAATGTTCAACTCTGTGTCCTGAATACAAACATCACAAAGATGTTTCTCAGAACGCTGCAGTCTGCAATTTGTATGTATTCCAGCTTCCAACGAAATCCTCAAATCTAGCCAAATATCCACTTGCAGATTCCACAAAAAGAGCATTTCAAAACTGCTCTATCAAAAGAAAGGTTCAACTTTTTTAGTAGAGTAGATACAGCATAAACAAGTTTCTGAGAATGCTTCTGTCCAGTTTTTATGGGAAGATATTTCCTTTTTCACCTTAGCCCTGAAATCGCTCCAAAAGTCCAGTTCCAGATACTACAAAAGGGGTGTTTCAGGACTGCTCTATGAAAGGGAGTGTTCAACTTTTGACTTGAATGCAAACATCAGAAAGCAGTTTCTCAGAACGCTGCTGTGTGCTTTTTATATGTATTCCCGCTTCCAGCGAAATCCCCAAAGCTAGCCAAATATCCACTTGCAGATTCCAGAAAAAGAGTGTTTCAAAACTGCTCCTTCAAAACGGTGGTTCAATTCTCTTAGTTGAGTACACACATCTCAAATAAGTTTCTGAGAATGCTTCTGTCTAGTTGTTATGGGAAGATATTTCCTTTTCCAACATAGGCCTGAAAGCGCTCCAAATGTCCACTTCCAGATACTACAAAAGGAGTGATTCAAACCTGCTCTATGATAGGGAATGTTCAACTCTGTGTCCTGAATACAAACATCACAAAGATGTTTCTCAGAACGCTGCAGTCTGCAATTTGTATGAATTCCCGCTTCCAACGAAATCCTCAAAACTAGCCAAATATCCACTTGCAGATTCCACAAAAAGAGCGTTTCAAAACTTCTCTATGAAAAGAAAGGTTCTACTCCTTTAGTTGAGGACACACATCACGAGTAAGTTTCTGAGAATGCTTCTGTCTAGTTTTTATGGGAAGATATTTCCTTTTTCACCTTAGGCCAGAAAGTGCTCCAAATGTCCACTTACACACACTACAAAAAGAGTGTTTCAAACCTGCTCTGTGAAAGGGAATGTTCAATTCTGTGACTTGAATGCAATCATCCCAAAGAACTTTCTGAGAATGCTGCTGTCTGCTTTTTATATGTAATCCCGTTTCCAACGAAATCCTCAAATCTAGCCAAATAGCCACTTGCAGATTCCACAAAAAGAGTGTTTCAAAACTGTTCTGTCTAAAGAAATGTTCAACTGTGTTAGTTGAGGACACACATCAGAAACTAGTTTCTGAGAATGCTTCTGTCTAGTTGTTATGGGAAGATATTTCCTTTTCCAACGTAGGCCTGAAAGCGCTCCAAATGTCCACTTCCATATACTAAAAAAAGAGTGTTTCAAACCTGCTCTACCAAAGGGAATGTTCTACTCTGTGACTTGAATGCAAACATCCCAAAGAAGTTTCTGAGAATGCTTCTGTCTAGATTTTATCTGAAGACAATCCCGTTTCCAACGAAATCCTCAAGGCTAGGCAAATATCCTCTTGCAGATTCCAGAAAAAGAGTGTTTCAAAACTGCTCCTTCAAAACGGTGGTTCAATTCTCTTAGTTGAGTACACACATCTCAAATAAGTTTCTGAGAATGCTTCTGCCTAGTTGTTACAGGAAGATATTTCCCTTTCCAACATGGGCCTGAATGCGCTCTAAATGTCCACTTCCAGATACTACAAAAAGAGGGTTTCAAACCTGCTCTACCAAAGGGAATGTTCTACTCTGTGACTTGAATGCAAACATCACAATGAAGTTTCTGAGAATGCTTCTGTCTAGATTTTACCTGAAGACAATCCCGTTTCCCACGAAATCCTCAAAGCTATGCAAATATCCTCTTGCAGATTCTACAAAAAGAGTGTTTCAAAACTGCTCTATGAAAAGAAAGGTTCAACTCTGTCAGTAGAGGGCACACATCACAAACAAGTTTCTGAGAATGCTTGTGTCTAGTTGTTATGGGAAGATATTTCCTTTTTCAACATAGGCCTGAAAGCGCTCCAAATGTCCACTTCCAGATACTACAAAAGGAGTGATTCCAACCTGCTCTATGATAGGGAATGTTCAACTCTCTGTCCTGAATACAAACATCACAAAGATGTTTCTCAGAACGCTGCAGTCTGCAATTTGTATGAATTCCCGCTTCCAACGAAATCCTCAAAACTAGCCAAATATCCACTTGCAGATTCCACAAAAAGACCATTTCAAAACTGCTCTATCAAAAGAAAGGTTCAACTTTGTTAGTTGAGTAGATACAGCATAAACAAGTTTCTGAGAATGCTTCTGTCCAGTTTTTATGGGAAGATATTTCCTTTTTCACCTTAGCCCTGAAATCGCTCCAAAAGTCCAGTTCCAGATACTACAAAAGGGGTGTTTCAAGACTGCTCTATGAAAGGGAGTGTTCAACTTTTGACTTGAATGCAAACATCAGAAAGCAGTTTCTCAGAACGCTGCTGTGTGCTTTTTATATGTATTCCCGCTTCCAGCGAAATCCCCAAAGCTAGCCAAATATCCACTTGCAGATTCCAGAAAAAGAGAGTTTCAAAACTGCTCCTTCAAAACGGTGGTTCAATTCTCTTAGTTGAGTACACACATCTCAAATAAGTTTCTGAGAATGCTTCTGTCTAGTTGTTATGGGAAGATATTTCCTTTTCCAACATAGGCCTGAAAGCGCTCCAAATGTCCACTTCCAGATACTACAAAAGGAGTGATTCAAACCTGCTCTATGATAGGGAATGTTCAACTCTGTGTCCTGAATACAAACATCACAAAGATGTTTCTCAGAACGCTGCAGTCTGCAATTTGTATGTATTCCAGCTTCCAACGAAATCCTCAAATCTAGCCAAATATCCAATTGCAGATTCCACAAAAAGAGCATTTCAAAACTGCTCTATCAAAAGAAAGGTTCAACTTTTTTAGTAGAGTAGATACAGCATAAACAAGTTTCTGAGAATGCCTCTGTCTAGTTTTTATGGGAAGATATGTCCTTTTTCACCTTAGGCCGGAAAGCGCTCCAAATGTCCACTTACACACACTACAAAAAGAGTGTTTCAAACCTGCTCTGTGAAAGGGAATGTTCAATTCTGTGACTTGAATGCAATCATCACAAAGAACTTTACTGAGAATGCTGCTGTCTGCTTTTTATATGTATTCCCGTTTCCAACGAAATCCTCAAAGCCAGCCAAATATCCACTTGCAGATTCCACAGAAAGAGTGTTTCAAAACTGCTCTCTCAAAAGAAATGTTCAACTCTGTCAGTTGAGGACACACATCACAAATAAGTTTCTGAGAATGCTTCTGTCTAGTTTTTATGGGAAGATATTTCCTTTTTCACCTGAGGCCGGAAAGCGCTCCAAATGTCCACTTCCAGATACTACAAAAGGAGTGATTCAAACCTGCTCTATGATAGGGAACGTTCAACTCTGTGTCCTGAATACAAACATCACAAAGATGTTTCTCAGAACGCTGCAGTCTGCAATTTGTATGAATTCCCGCTTCCAACGAAATCCTCAAAACTAGCCAAATATCCACTTGCAGATTCCACAAAAAGAGCGTTTCAAAACTTCTCTATGAAAAGAAAGGTTCTACTCCTTTAGTTGAGGACACACAATACGAGTAAGTTTCTGAGAATGCTTCTGTCCAGTTTTTATGGGAAGATATTTCCTTTTTCACCTTAGCCCTGAAAGCGCTCCAAAAGTCCAGTTCCAGATACTACAAAAGGAGTGTTTCAGGACTGCTCTATGAAAGGGAGTGTTCAACTTTTGACTTGAATGCAAACATCAGAAAGCAGTTTCTCAGAACGCTGCTGTGTGCTTTTTATATGTATTCCCGCTTCCAGCGAAATCCCCAAAGCTAGCCAAATATCCACTTGCAGATTCCAGAAAAAGAGTGTTTCAAAACTGCTCCTTCAAAACGGTGGTTCAATTCTCTTAGTTGAGTACACACATCTCAAATAAGTTTCTGAGAATGCTTCTGTCTAGTTGTTATGGGAAGATATTTCCTTTTCCAACATAGGCCTGAAAGCGCTCCAAATGTCCACTTCCAGATACTACAAAAGGAGTGATTCAAACCTGCTCTATGATAGGGAATGTTCAACTCTGTGTCCTGAATACAAACATCACAAAGATGTTTCTCAGAACGCTGCAGTCTGCAATTTGTATGAATTCCCGCTTCCAACGAAATCCTCAAAACTAGCCAAATATCCACTTGCAGATTCCACAAAAAGAGCATTTCAAAACTGCTCTATCAAAAGAAAGGTTCAACTTTGTTAGTTGAGTAGATACAGCATAAACAAGTTTGCTGAGAATGCTTCTGTCCAGTTTTTATGGGAAGATATTTCCTTTTTCACCTTAGCCCTGAAAGCGCTCCAAATTTCCAGTTCCAGATACTACAAAAGGGGTGTTTCAAGACTGCTCTATGAAAGGGAGTGTTCAACTTTTGACTTGAATGCAAACATCAGAAAGCAGTTTCTCAGAACGCTGCTGTGTGCTTTTTATATGTATTCCCGCTTCCAGCGAAATCCCCAAAGCTAGCCAAATATCCACTTGCAGATTCCAGAAAAAGAGTGTTTCCAAACTGCTCCTTCAAAACGGTGGTTCAATTCTCTTAGTTGAGTACACACATCTCAAATAAGTTTCTGGGAATGCTTCTGTCTAGTTGTTATGGGAAGATATTTCCTTTTCCAACATAGGCCTGAAAGCGCTCCAAATGTCCACTTCCAGATACTACAAAAGGAGTGATTCAAACCTGCTCTATGATAGGGAATGTTCAACTCTGTGTCCTGAATACAAACATCACAAAGATGTTTCTCAGAACGCTGCAGTCTGCAATTTGTATGAATTCCCGCTTCCAACGAAATCCTCAAAACTAGCCAAATATCCACTTGCAGATTCCACAAAAAGAGCGTTTCAAAACATCTCTATGAAAAGAAAGGTTCTACTCCTTTAGTTGAGGACACACATCACGAGTAAGTTTCTGAGAATGCTTCTGTCTAGTTTTTATGGGAAGATATTTCCTTTTTCACCTTAGGCCGGTAAGTGCTCCAAATGTCCACTTACACACACTACAAAAAGAGTGTTTCAAACCTGCTCTGTGAAAGGGAATGTTCAATTCTGTGACTTGAATGCAATCATCACAAAGAACTTTCTGAGAATGCTGCTGTCTGCTTTTTATATGTAATCCAGTTTCCAACGAAATCCTCAAATCTAGCCAAATAGCCACTTGCAGATTCCACAAAAAGAGTGTTTCAAAACTGTTCTGTCTAAAGAAATGTTCAACTGTGTTAGTTGAGGACACACATCAGAAACTAGTTTCTGAGAATGCTTCTGTCTAGTTGTTATGGGAAGATATTTCCTTTTCCAACGTAGGCCTGAAAGCGCTCCAAATGTCCACTTCCAGATACTACAAAAGGAGTGATTCCAACCTGCTCTATGATAGGGAATGTTCAACTCTGTGTCCTGAATACAAACATCACAAAGATGTTTCTCAGAACGCTGCAGTCTGCAATTTGTATGAATTCCCGCTTCCAACGAAATCCTCCAAACTAGCCAAATATCCACTTGCAGATTCCACAAAAAGAGCGTTTCAAAACTTCTCTGCGAAAGAAAGGTTCTACTCCTTTAGTTGAGGACACACATCACGAGTAAGTTTCTGAGAATGCTTCTGTCTAGTTTTTATGGGAAGATATTTCCTTTTTCACCTTAGGCCGGAAAGTGCTCCAAATGTCCACTTACACACACTACAAAAAGAGTGTTTCAAACCTGCTCTGTGAAAGGGAATGTTCAATTCTGTGACTTGAATGCAATCATCACAAAGAACTTTCTGAGAATGCTGCTGTCTGCTTTTTATATGTAATCCCGTTTCCAACGAAATCCTCAAATCTAGCCAAATAGCCACTTGCAGATTCCACAAAAAGAGAGTTTCAAAACTGTTCTGTCTAAAGAAATGTTCAACTGTGTTAGTTGAGGACACACATCAGAAACTAGTTTCTGAGAATGCTTCTGTCTAGTTGTTATGGGAAGATATTTCCTTTTCCAACGTAGGCCTGAAAGCGCTCCAAATGTCCACTTCCATATACTAAAAAAAGAGTGTTTCAAACCTGCTCTACCAAAGGGAATGTTCTACTCTGTGACTTGAATGCAAACATCCCAAAGAAGTTTCTGAGAATGCTTCTGTCTAGATTTGATCTGAAGACAATCCCGTTTCCAACGAAATCCTCAAGGCTAGGCAAATATCCTCTTGCAGATTCCAGAAAAAGAGTGTTTCAAAACTGCTCCTTCAAAACGGTGGTTCAATACTCTTAGTTGAGTACACACATCTCAAATAAGTTTCTGAGAATGCTTCTGCCTAGTTGTTACGGGAAGATATTTCCCTTTCCAGCATGGGCCTGAAAGCGCTCCAAATGTCCACTTCCAGATACTACAAAAAGAGTGTTTCAAACCTGCTCTACCAAAGGGAATGTTCTACTCTGTGACTTGAATGCAAACATCCCAAAGAAGTTTCTGAGAATGCTTCTGTCTAGATTTTACCTGAAGACAATCCCGTTTCCCACGAAATCCTCAAAGCTATGCAAATATCCTCTTGCAGATTCTACAAAAAGAGTGTTTCAAAACTGCTCTATGAAAAGAAAGGTTCAACTCTGTCAGTAGAGGGCACACATCACAAACAAGTTTCTGAGAATGCTTGTGTCTAGTTGTTATGGGAAGATATTTCCTTTTTCAACATAGGCCTGAAAGCGCTCCAAATGTCCACTTCCAGATACTACAAAAGGAGTGATTCCAACCTGCTCTATGATAGGGAATGTTCAACTCTGTGTCCTGAATACAAACATCACAAAGATGTTTCTCAGAACGCTGCAGTCTGCAATTTGTATGAATTCCCGCTTCCAACGAAATCCTCAAAACTAGCCAAATATCCACTTGCAGATTCCACAAAAAGACCATTTCAAAACTGCTCTATCAAAAGAAAGGTTCAACTTTGTTAGTTGAGTAGATACAGCATAACCAAGTTTCTGAGAATGCTTCTGTCCAGTTTTTATGGGAAGATATTTCCTTTTTCACCTTAGCCCTGAAGGCGCTCCAAATGTCCAGTTCCAGATACTACAAAAGGGGTGTTTCAAGACTGCTCTATGAAAGGGAGTGTTCAACTTTTGACTTGAATGCAAACATCAGAAAGCAGTTTCTCAGAACGCTGCTGTGTGCTTTTTATATGTATTCCCGCTTACAGCGAAATCCCCAAAGCTAGCCAAATATCCACTTGCAGATTCCAGAAAAAGAGTGTTTCCAAACTGCTCCTTCAAAACGGTGGTTCAATTCTCATAGTTGAGTACACACATCTCCAATAAGTTTCTGGGAATGCTTCTGTCTAGTTGTTATGGGAAGATATTTCCTTTTCCAACATAGGCCTGAAAGCGCTCCAAATGTCCACTTCCAGATACTACAAAAGGAGTGATTCAAACCTGCTCTATGATAGGGAATGTTCAACTCTGTGTCCTGAATACAAACATCACAAAGATGTTTCTCAGAACGCTGCAGTCTGCAATTTGTATGAATTCCCGCTTCCAACGAAATCCTCAAAACTAGCCAAATATCCACTTGCAGATTCCACAAAAAGAGCGTTTCAAAACTTCTCTATGAAAAGAAAGGTTCTACTCCTTTAGTTGAGGACACACAATACGAGTAAGTTTCTGAGAATGCTTCTGTCCAGTTTTTATGGGAAGATATTTCCTTTTTCACCTTAGCCCTGAAAGCGCTCCAAAAGTCCAGTTCCAGATACTACAAAAGGAGTGTTTCAGGACTGCTCTATGAAAGGGAGTGTTCAACTTTTGACTTGAATGCAAACATCAGAAAGCAGTTTCTCAGAACGCTGCTGTGTGCTTTTTATATGTATTCCCGCTTCCAGCGAAATCCCCAAAGCTAGCCAAATATCCACTTGCAGATTCCAGAAAAAGAGTGTTTCAAAACTGCTCCTTCAAAACGGTGGTTCAATTCTCTTAGTTGAGTACACACATCTCAAATAAGTTTCTGAGAATGCTTCTGTCTAGTTGTTATGGGAAGATATTTCCTTTTCCAACATAGGCCTGAAAGCGCTCCAAATGTCCACTTCCAGATACTACAAAAGGAGTGATTCAAACCTGCTCTATGATAGGGAATGTTCAACTCTGTGTCCTGAATACAAACATCACAAAGATGTTTCTCAGAACGCTGCAGTCTGCAATTTGTATGAATTCCCGCTTCCAACGAAATCCTCAAAACTAGCCAAATATCCACTTGCAGATTCCACAAAAAGACCATTTCAAAACTGCTCTATCAAAAGAAAGGTTCAACTTTGTTAGTTGAGTAGATACAGCATAAACAAGTTTCTGAGAATGCTTCTGTCCAGTTTTTATGGGAAGATATTTCCTTTTTCACCTTAGCCCTGAAAGCGCTCCAAAAGTCCAGTTCCAGATACTACAAAAGGAGTGTTTCAGGACTGCTCTATGAAAGGGAGTGTTCAACTTTTGACTTGAATGCAAACATCAGAAAGCAGTTTCTCAGAACGCTGCTGTGTGCTTTTTATATGTATTCCCGCTTCCAGCGAAATCCCCAAAGCTAGCCAAATATCCACTTGCAGATTTCAGAAAAAGAGAGTTTCAAAACTGCTCCTTCAAAACGGTGGTTCAATTCTCTTAGTTGAGTACACACATCTCAAATAAGTTTCTGAGAATGCTTCTGTCTAGTTGTTATGGGAAGATATTTCCTTTTCCAACATAGGCCTGAAAGCGCTCCAAATGTCCACTTCCAGATACTACAAAAGGAGTGATTCAAACCTGCTCTATGATAGGGAATGTTCAACTCTGTGTCCTGAATACAAACATCACAAAGATGTTTTCTCAGAACGCTTCTGTCTAGATTTTACCTGAAGACAATCCCGTTTCCCACGAAATCCTCAAAGCTATGCAAATATCCTCTTGCAGATTCTACAAAAAGAGTGTTTCAAAACTGCTCTATGAAAAGAAAGGTTCAACTCTGTCAGTAGAGGGCACACATCACAAACAAGTTTCTGAGAATGCTTCTGTCTAGTTGTTATGGGAAGATATTTCCTTTTTCAACATAGGCCTGAAAGCGCTCCAAATGTCCACTTCCAGATACTACAAAAGGAGTGATTCCAACCTGCTCTATGATAGGGAATGTTCAACTCTCTGTCCTGAATACAAACATCACAAAGATGTTTCTCAGAACGCTGCAGTCTGCAATTTGTATGAATTCCCGCTTCCAGCGAAATCCTCAAAACAAGCCAAATATCCACTTGCAGATTCCACAAAAAGAGCATTTCAAAACTGCTCTATCAAAAGAAAGGTTCAACTTTGTTAGTTGAGTAGATACAGCATAAACAAGTTTCTGAGAATGCTTCTGTCCAGTTTTTATGGGAAGATATTTCCTTTTTCACCTTAGCCCTGAAAGCGCTCCAAAAGTCCAGTTCCAGATACTACAAAAGGAGTGTTTCAGGACTGCACTGTGAAAGGGAGTGTTCAACTTTTGACTTGAATGCAAACATCAGAAAGCAGTTTCTCAGAACGCTGCGGTCTGCAATTTGTATGAATTCCGGCTTCCAACGAAATCCTCCAAACTAGCCAAATATCCACTTGCAGATTCCACAAAAAGAGCGTTTCAAAACTTCTCTATGAAAAGAAAGGTTCTACTCCTTTAGTTGAGGACACACATCACGAGTAAGTTTCTGAGAATGCTTCTGTCTAGTTTTTATGGGAAGATATTTCCTTGTTCACCTTAGGCCGGAAAGCGCTCCAAATGTCCACTTACACACACTAGAAAAAGAGTGTTTCAAACCTGCTCTGTGAAAAGGAATGTTCAATTCTGTGACTTGAATGCAATCATCACAAAGAAGTTTCTGAGAATGCTGCTGTCTGCTTTTTATATGTAATCCCGTTTCCAACGAAATCCTCAAATGTAGCCAAATATCCACTTGCAGATTCCACAAAAAGAGTGTTTCAAAACTGTTCTGTCTAAAGAAATGTTCAACTGTGTTAGTTGAGGACACACATCAGAAACTAGTTTCTGAGAATGCTTCTGTCTAGTTGTTATGGGAAGATATTTCCTTTTCCAACGTAGGCCTGAAAGCGCTCCAAATGTCCACTTACACACACTACAAAAAGAGTGTTTGAAACCTGCTCTACCAAAGTGAATGTTCTACTCTGTGACTTGAATGCAAACATCCCAAAGAAGTTTCTGAGAATGCTTCTGTCTAGATTTTACCTGAAGACAATCCCGTTTCCCACAAAATCCTCAAAGCTATGCAAATATCCTCTTGCAGATTCTACAAAAAGAGTGTTTCGAAAGTGCTCTATGAAAAGAAAGGTTCAACTGTGTCAGTAGAGGGCACACATCACAAACAAGTTTCTGAGAATGCTTCTGTCTAGTTGTTATGGGAAGATATTTCCTTTTTCAACATAGGCCTGAAAGCGCTCCAAATGTCCACTTCCAGATACTACAAAAGGAGTGATTCCAACTTGCTCTATGATAGGGAATGTTCAACTCTGTGTCCTGAATACAAACGTCACAAAGATGTTTCTCAGAACGCTGCAGTCTGCAATTTGTATGAATTCCCGCTTCCAACGAAATCCTCCAAACTAGCCAAATATCCACTTGCAGATTCCACAAAAAGAGCGTTTCAAAACTTCTCTATGAAAAGAAAGGTTCTACTCCTTTAGTTGAGGACACACATCACGAGTAAGTTTCTGAGAATGCTTCTGTCTAGTTTTTATGGGAAGATATTTCCTTTTTCACCTTAGGCCGGAAAGTGCTCCAAATGTCCACTTACACACACTACAAAAAGAGTGTTTCAAACCTGCTCTGTGAAAGGGAATGTTCAATTCTGTGACTTGAATGCAATCATCACAAAGAACTTTCTGAGAATGCTGCTGTCTGCTTTTTATATGTAATCCCGTTTCCAACGAAATCCTCAAATCTAGCCAAATAGCCACTTGCAGATTCCACAAAAAGAGTGTTTCAAAACTGTTCTGTCTAAAGAAATGTTCAACTGTGTTAGTTGAGGACACACATCAGAAACTAGTTTCTGAGAATGCTTCTGTCTAGTTGTTATGGGAAGATATTTCCTTTTCCAACGTAGGCCTGAAAGCGCTCCAAATGTCCACTTCCATATACTAAAAAAAGAGTGTTTCAAACCTGCTCTACCAAAGGGAATGTTCTACTCTGTGACTTGAATGCAAACATCCCAAAGAAGTTTCTGAGAATGCTTCTGTCTAGATTTGATCTGAAGACAATCCCGTTTCCAACGAAATCCTCAAGGCTAGGCAAATATCCTCTTGCAGATTCCAGAAAAAGAGTGTTTCAAAACTGCTCCTTCAAAACGGTGATTCAATTCTCTTAGTTGAGTACACACATCTCAAATAAGTCTCCTGAGAATGCCTCCTGCCTAGTTGTTACGGGAAGATATTTCCCTTTCCAACATGGGCCTGAAAGCGCTCCAAATGTCCACTTCCAGATACTACAAAAAGAGTGTTTCAAACCTGCTCTACCAAAGGGAATGTTCTACTCTGTGACTTGAATGCAAACATCCCAAAGAAGTTTCTGAGAATGCTTCTGTCTAGATTTTACCTGAAGACAATCCCGTTTCCCACGAAATCCTCAAAGCTATGCAAATATCCTCTTGCAGATTCTACAAAAAGAGTGTTTCAAAACTGCTCTATGAAAAGAAAGGTTCAACTCTGTCAGTAGAGGGCACACATCACAAACAAGTTTCTGAGAATGCTTGTGTCTAGTTGTTATGGGAAGATATTTCCTTTTTCAACATAGGCCTGAAAGCGCTCCAAATGTCCACTTCCAGATACTACAAAAGGAGTGATTCCAACCTGCTCTATGATAGGGAATGTTCAACTCTCTGTCCTGAATACAAACATCACAAAGATGTTTCTCAGAACGCTGCAGTCTGCAATTTGTATGAATTCCCGCTTCCAACGAAATCCTCAAAACTAGCCAAATATCCACTTGCAGATTCCACAAAAAGAGCATTTCAAAACTGCTCTATCAAAAGAAAGGTTCAACTTTGTTAGTTGAGTAGATACAGCATAAACAAGTTTCTGAGAATGCTTCTGTCCAGTTTTTATGGGAAGATATTTCCTTTTTCACCTTAGCCCTGAAAGCGCTCCAAAAGCCCAGTTCCAGATACTACAAAAGGAGTGTTTCAGGACTGCTCTATGAAATGGAGTGTTCAACTTTTGACTTGAATGCAAACATCAGAAAGCAGTTTCTCAGAACGCTGCTGTGTGCTTTTTATATGTATTCCCGCTTCCAGCGAAATCCCCAAAGCTAGCCAAATATCCACTTGCAGATTCCAGAAAAAGAGTGTTTCAAAACTGCTCCTTCAAAACGGTGGTTCAATTCTCTTAGTTGAGTACACACATCTCAAATAAGTTTCTGAGAATGCTGCTGTGTGCTTTTTATATGTATTCCCGCTTCCAGCGAAATCCCCAAAGCTAGCCAAATATCCACTTGCAGATTCCAGAAAAAGAGTGTTTTCAAACTGCTCCTTCAAAACGGTGGTTCAATTCTCTTAGTTGAGTACACACATCTCAAATAAGTTTCTGGGAATGCTTCTGTCTAGTTGTTATGGGAAGATATTTCCTTTTCCAACATAGGCCTGAAAGCGCTCCAAATGTCCACTTCCAGATACTACAAAAGGAGTGATTCAAACCTGCTCTATGATAGGGAATGTTCAACTCTGTGTCCTGAATACAAACATCACAAAGATGTTTCTCAGAACGCTGCAGTCTGCAATTTGTATGAATTCCCGCTTCCAACGAAATCCTCAAAACTAGCCAAATATCCACTTGCAGATTCCACAAAAAGACCATTTCAAAACTGCTCTATCAAAAGAAAGGTTCAACTTTGTTAGTTGAGTAGATACAGCATAACCAAGTTTCTGAGAAAGCTTCTGTCCAGTTTTTATGGGAAGATATTTCCTTTTTCACCTTAGCCCTGAAATCGCTCCAAAAGTCCAGTTCCAGATACTACAAAAGGGGTGTTTCAGGACTGCTCTATGAAAGGGAGTGTTCAACTTTTGACTTGAATGCAAACATCAGAAAGCAGTTTCTCAGAACGCTGCTGTGTGCTTTTTATATGTATTCCCGCTTCCAGCGAAATCCCCAAAGCTAGCCAAATATCCACTTGCAGATTCCAGAAAAAGAGTGTTTCAAAACTGCTCCTTCAAAACGGTGGTTCAATTCTCTTAGTTGAGTACACACATCTCAAATAAGTTTCTGAGAATGCTTGTGTCTAGTTGTTATGGGAAGATATTTCCTTTTTCAACATAGGCCTGAAAGCGCTCCAAATGTCCACTTCCAGATACTACAAAAGGAGTGACTCCAACATGCTCTATGATAGGGAATGTTCACCTCTGTGTCTTGAATACAAACATCACAAAGATGTTTCTCAGAACGCTGCAGTCTGCAATTTGTATGAATTCCCGCTTCCAACGAAATCCTCAAAACTAGCCAAATATCCACTTGGAGATTCCACAAAAAGAGCGTTTCAAAACTTCTCTATGAATAGAAAGGTTCTACTCCTTTAGTTGAGGACACACATCACGAGTAAGTTTCTGAGAATGCTTCTGTCTAGTTTTTATGGGAAGATATTTCCTTTTTCACCTTAGGCCGGAAAGCGCTCCAAATGTCCACTTACACACACTACAAAAAGAGTGTTTCAAACCTCCTCTGTGAAAGCGAATGTTCAATTCTGTGACTTGAATGCAATCATCACAAAGAACTTTCTGAGAATGCTGCAGTCTGCTTTTTATATGTAATCCCGTTTCCAACGAAATCCTCAAATCTAGCCAAATATCCACTTGCAGATTCCACAAAAAGAGTGTTTCCAAACTGTTCTGTCTAAAGAAAAGTTCAACTGTGTTAGTTGAGGACACACATCAGAAACTAGTTTCTGAGAATGCTTCTGTCTAGTTGTTATGGGAAGATATTTCCTTTTCCAACGTAGGCCTGAAAGCGCTCCAAATGTCCATTTCCATATACTAAAAAAAGAGTGTTTCAAACCTGCTCTACCAAAGGGAATGTTCTACTCTGTGACTTGAATACAAACATCCCAAAGAAGTTTCTGAGAATGCTTCTGTCTAGATTTTATCTGAAGACAATCCCGTTTCCAACGAAATCCTCAAGGCTAGGCAAATATCGTCTAGCAGATTCCAGAAAAAGAGTGTTTCAAAACTGCTCCTTCAAAACGGTGGTTCAATTCTCTTAGTTGAGTACACACATCTCAAATAAGTTTCTGAGAATGCTTCTGCCTAGTTGTTACGGGAAGATATTTCCCTTTCCAACATAGGCCTGAAAGCGCTCCAAATGTCCACTTCCAGATACTACAAAAAGAGTGTTTCAAACCTGCTCTACCAAAGGGAATGTTCTACTCTGTGACTTGAATGCAAACATCCCAAAGAAGTTTCTGAGAATGCTTCTGTCTAGATTTTACCTGAAGACAATCCCGTTACCCACGAAATCCTCAAAGCTGTGCAAATATCCTCTTGCAGATTCTACAAAAAGAGTGTTTCAAAACTGCTCTATGAAAAGAAAGGTTCAACTGTGTCAGTAGAGGGCACACATCACAAACAAGTTTCTGAGAATGCTTGTGTCTAGTTGTTATGGGAAGATATTTCCTTTTTCAACATAGGCCTGAAAGCGCTCCAAATGTCCACTTCCAGATACTACAAAAGGAGTGATTCCAACCTGCTCTATGATAGGGAATGTTCAACTCTCTGTCCTGAATACAAACATCACAAAGATGTTTCTCAGAACGCTGCAGTCTGCAATTTGTATGAATTCCCGCTTCCAACGAAATCCTCAAAACTAGCCAAATATCCACTTGCAGATTCCACAAAAAGACCATTTCAAAACTGCTCTATCAAAAGAAAGGTTCAACTTTGTTAGTTGAGTAGATACAGCATAACCAAGTTTCTGAGAATGCTTCTGTCCAGTTTTTATGGGAAGATATTTCCTTTTTCACCTTAGCCCTGAAATCGCTCCAAAAGTCCAGTTCCAGATACTACAAAAGGGGTGTTTCAAGACTGCTCTATGAAAGGGAGTGTTCAACTTTTGACTTGAATGCAAACATCAGAAAGCAGTTTCTCAGAACGCTGCTGTGTGCTTTTTATATGTATTCCCGCTTCCAGCGAAATCCCCAAAGCTAGCCAAATATCCACTTGCAGATTCCAGAAAAAGAGAGTTTCAAAACTGCTCCTTCAAAACGGTGGTTCAATTCTCTTAGTTGAGTACACACATCTCAAATAAGTTTCTGAGAATGCTTCTGTCTAGTTGTTATGGGAAGATATTTCCTTTTCCAACATAGGCCTGAAAGCGCTCCAAATGTCCACTTCCAGATACTACAAAAGGAGTGATTCCAACCTGCTCTATGATAGGGAATGTTCAACTCTGTGTCCTGAATACAAACATCACAAAGATGTTTCTCAGAACGCTGCAGTCTGCAATTTGTATGAATTCCCGCTTCCAACGAAATCCTCAAAACTAGCCAAATATCCACTTGCAGATTCCACAAAAAGAGCGTTTCAAAACTTCTCTATGAAAAGAAAGGTTCTACTCCTTTAGTTGAGGACACACATCACGAGTAAGTTTCTGAGAATGCTTCTGTCTAGTTTTTATGGGAAGATATTTCCTTTTTCACCTTAGGCCGGTAAGTGCTCCAAATGTCCACTTACACACACTACAAAAAGAGTGTTTCAAACCTGCTCTGTGAAAGGGAATGTTCAATTCTGTGACTTGAATGCAATCATCACAAAGAACTTTCTGAGAATGCTGCTGACTGCTTTTTATATGTAATCCCGTTTCCAACGAAATCCTCAAATCTAGCCAAATAGCCACTTGCAGATTCCACAAAAAGAGTGTTTCAAAACTGTTCTGTCTAAAGAAATGTTCAACTGTGTTAGTTGAGGACACACATCAGAAACTAGTTTCTGAGAATGCTTCTGTCTAGTTGTTATGGGAAGATATTTCCTTTTCCAACGTAGGCCTGAAAGCGCTCCAAATGTCCACTTCCATATACTAAAAAAAGAGTGTTTCAAACCTGCTCTACCAAAGGGAATGTTCTACTCTGTGACTTGAATGCAAACATCCCAAAGAAGTTTCTGAGAATGCTTCTGTCTAGATTTTCTCTGAAGACAATCCCGTTTCCAACGAAATCCTCAAGGCTAGGCAAATATACTCTTGCAGATTCCAGAAAAAGAGTGTTTCAAAACTGCTCCTTCAAAACGGTGGTTCAATTCTCTTAGTTGAGTACACACATCTCAAATAAGTTTCTGAGAATGCTTCTGCCTAGTTGTTACGGGAAGATATTTCCCTTTCCAACATAGGCCTGAAAGCGCTCCAAATGTCCACTTCCAGATACTACAAAAAGAGTGTTTCAAACCTGCTCTACCAAAGGGAATGTTCTACTCTGTGACTTGAATGCAAACATCCCAAAGAAGTTTCTGAGAATGCTTCTGTCTAGATTTTACCTGAAGACAATCCCGTTTCCCCCAAAATCCTCAAAGCTATGCAAATATCCTCTTGTGGATTCTACAAAAAGAGTGTTTCAAAACTGCTCTATGAAAAGAAAGGTTCAACTCTGTCAGTAGAGGGCACACATCACAAACAAGTTTCTGAGAATGCTTGTGTCTAGTTGTTATGGGAAGATATTTCCTTTTTCAACATAGGCCTGAAAGCGCTCCAAATGTCCACTTCCAGATACTACAAAAGGAGTGATTCCAACCTGCTCTATGATAGGGAATGTTCATCACTGTGTCCTGAATACAAACATCACAAAGATGTTTCTCAGAACGCTGCAGTCTGCAATTTGTATGAATTCCCGCTTCCAACGAAATCCTAAAAACTAGCCAAATATCCACTTGCAGATTCCACAAAAAGACCATTTCAAAACTGCTCTATCAAAAGAAAGGTTCAACTTTGTTAGTTGAGTAGATACAGCATAAACAAGTTTCTGAGAATGCTTCTGTCCAGTTTTTATGGGAAGATATTTCCTTTTTCACCTTAGCCCTGAAATCGCTCCAAAAGTCCAGTTCCAGATACTACAAAAGGGGTGTTTCAAGACTGCTCTATGAAAGGGAGTGTTCAACTTTTGACTTGAATGCAAACATCAGAAAGCAGTTTCTCAGAACGCTGCTGTGTGCTTTTTATATGTATTCCCGCTTCCAGCGAAATCCCCAAAGCTAGCCAAATATCCACTTGCAGATTTCAGAAAAAGAGAGTTTCAAAACTGCTCCTTCAAAACGGTGGTTCAATTCTCTTAGTTGAGTACACACATCTCAAATAAGTTTCTGAGAATGCTTCTGTCTAGTTGTTATGGGAAGATATTTCCTTTTCCAACATAGGCCTGAAAGCGCTCCAAATGTCCACTTCCAGATACTACAAAAGGAGTGATTCAAACCTGCTCTATGATAGGGAATGTTCAACTCTGTGTCCTGAATACAAACATCACAAAGATGTTTCTCAGAACGCTGCAGTCTGCAATTTGTATGAATTCCCGCTTCCAACGAAATCCTCAAAACTAGCCAAATATCCACTTGCAGATTCCACAAAAAGAGCGTTTCAAAACTTCTCTATGAAAAGAAAGGTTCTACTCCTTTAGTTGAGGACACACATCACGAGTAAGTTTCTGAGAATGCTTCTGTCTAGTTTTTATGGGAAGATATTTCTTTTTTCACCTTAGGCCGGAAAGCGCTCCAAATGTCCACTTACACACACTACAAAAAGAGTGTTTCAAACCTGCTCTGTGAAAGGGAATGTTCAATTCTGTGACTTGAATGCAATCATCACAAAGAACTTTCTGAGAATGCTGCTGTCTGCTTTTTATATGTAATCCCGTTTCCAACGAAATCCTCAAATCTAGCCCAATATCCACTTGCAGATTCCACAAAAAGAGTGTTTCAAAACTGTTCTGTCTAAAGAAAAGTTCAACTGTGTTAGTTGAGGACACACATCAGAAACTAGTTTCTGAGAATGCTTCTGTCTAGTTGTTATGGGAAGATATTTCCTTTTCCAACGTAGGCCTGAAAGCGCTCCAAATGTCCACTTCCATATACTAAAAAAAGTGTTTCAAACCTGCTCTACCAAAGGGAATGTTCTACTCTGTGACTTGAATGCAAACATCCCAAAGAAGTTTCTGAGAATGCTTCTGTCTAGATTTTATCTGAAGACAATCCCGTTTCCAACGAAATCCTCAAGGCTAGGCAAATATACTCTTGCAGATTCCAGAAAAAGAGTGTTTCGAAACTGCTCCTTCAAAACGGTGGTTCAATTCTCTTAGTTGAGTACACACATCTCAAATAAGTTTCTGAGAATGCTTCTGCCTAGTTGTTACGGGAAGATATTTCCCTTTCCAACATAGGCCTGAAAGCGCTCCAAATGTCCACTTCCAGATACTACAAAAAGAGTGTTTCAAACCTGCTCTACCAAAGGGAATGTTCTACTCTGTGACTTGAATGCAAACATCCCAAAGAAGTTTCTGAGAATGCTTCTGTCTAGATTTTACCTGAAGACAATCCCGTTTCCCACGAAATCCTCAAAGCTATGCAAATATCCTCTTGCAGATTCTACAAAAAGAGTGTTTCAAAACTGCTCTATGAAAAGAAAGGTTCAACTCTGTCAGTAGCGGGCACACATCACAAACAAGTTTCTGAGAATGCTTGTGTCTAGTTGTTATGGGAAGTATATTTCCTTTTTCAACATAGGCCTGAAAGCGCTCCAAATGTCCACTTCCAGATACTACAAAAGGAGTGATTCCAACCTGCTCTATGATAGGGAATGTTCAACTCTCTGTCCTGAATACAAACATCACAAAGATGTTTCTCAGAACGCTGCAGTCTGCAATTTGTATGAATTCCCGCTTCCAACGAAATCCTCCAAACTAGCCAAATATCCACTTGCAGATTCCACAAAAAGAGCGTTTCAAAACTTCTCTATGAAAAGAAAGGTTCTACTCCTTTAGTTGAGGACACACATCACGAGTAAGTTTCTGAGAATGCTTCTGTCTAGTTTTTATGGGAAGATATTTCCTTTTTCACCTTAGGCCGGAAAGTGCTCCAAATGTCCACTTACACACACTACAAAAAGAGTGTTTCAAACCTGCTCTGTGAAAGGGAATGTTCAATTCTGTGACTTGAATGCAATCATCACAAAGAACTTTCTGAGAATGCTGCTGTCTGCTTTTTATATGTAATCCCGTTTCCAACGAAATCCTCAAATCTAGCCAAATAGCCACTTGCAGATTCCACAAAAAGAGTGTTTCAAAACTGTTCTGTCTAAAGAAATGTTCAACTGTGTTAGTTGAGGACACACATCAGAAACTAGTTTCTGAGAATGCTTCTGTCTAGTTGTTATGGGAAGATATTTCCTTTTCCAACGTAGGCCTGAAAGCGCTCCAAATGTCCACTTCCAGATACTACAAAAGGAGTGATTCCAACCTGCTCTATGATAGGGAATGTTCAACTCTGTGTCCTGAATACAAACATCACAAAGATGTTTCTCAGAACGCTGCAGTCTGCAATTTGTATGAATTCCCGCTTCCAACGAAATCCTCCAAACTAGCCAAATATCCACTTGCAGATTCCACAAAAAGAGCGTTTCAAAACTTCTCTATGAAAGAAAGGTTCTACTCCTTTAGTTGAGGACACACATCACGAGTAAGTTTCTGAGAATGCTTCTCTCTAGTTTCTATGGGAAGATATTTCCTTTTTCACCTTAGGCCGGAAAGCGCTCCAAATGTCCACTTACACACACTACAAAAAGAGTGTTTCAAACCTGCTCTGTGAAAGGGAATGTTCAATTCTGTGACTTGAATGCAATCATCACAAAGAACTTTCTGAGAATGCTGCTGACTGCTTTTTATATGTAATCCCGTTTCCAAAGAAATCCTCAAATCTAGCCAAATAGCCACTTGCAGATTCCACAAAAAGAGTGTTTCAAAACTGTTCTGTCTAAGGAAATGTTCAACTGTGTTAGTTGAGGACACACATCAGAAACTAGTTTCTGAGAATGCTTCTGTCTAGTCGTTATGGGAAGATATTTCCTTTTCCAACGTAGGCCTGAAAGCGATCCAAATGTCCACTTCCATATACTAAAAAAAGAGTGTTTCAAACCTGCTCTACCAAAGGGAATGTTCTACTCTGTGACTTGAATGCAAACATCCCAAAGAAGTTTCTGAGAATGCTTCTGTCTAGATTTTATCTGAAGACAACCACGTTTCCAACGAAATCGTCAAGGCTAGGCAAATATACTCTTGCAGATTCCAGAAAAAGAGTGTTTCAAAACTGCGCCTTCAAAACGGTGGTTCAATTCTCTTAGTTGAGCACACACATCTCAAATAAGTTTCTGAGAATGCTTCTGCCTAGTTGTTACGGGAAGATATTTCCCTTTCCAACATGGGCCTGAAAGCGCTCCAAATGTCCACTTCCAGATACTACAAAAAGAGTGTTTCAAACCTGCTCTACCAAAGGGAATGTTCTACTCTGTGACTTGAATGCAAACATCCCAAAGAAGTTTCTGAGAATGCTTCTGTCTAGATTTTACCTGAAGGACAATCCCGTTTCCCACGAAATCCTCAAAGCTATGCAAATATCCTCTTGCAGATTCTACAAAAAGAGTGTTTCAAAACTGCTCTAAGAAAAGAAAGGTTCAACTCTGTCAGTAGAGGGCACACATCACAAACAAGTTTCTGAGAATGCTTGTGTCTAGTTGTTATGGGAAGATATTTCCTTTTTCAACATAGGCCTGAAAGCGCTCCAAATGTCCACTTCCAGATACTACAAAAGGAGTGATTCCAACCTGCTCTATGATAGGGAATGTTCAACTCTCTGTCCTGAATACAAACACCACAAAGATGTTTCTCAGAACGCTGCAGTCTGCAATTTGTATGAATTCCCGCTTCCAACGAAATCCTCAAAACTAGCCAAATATCCACTTGCAGATTCCACAAAAAGAGCATTTCAAAACTGCTCTATCAAAAGAAAGGTTCAAATTTGTTAGTTGAGTAGATACAGCATAAACAAGTTTCTGAGAATGCTTCTGTCCAGTTTTTATGGGAAGATATTTCCTTTTTCACCTTAGCCCTGAAAGCGCTCCAAAAGTCCAGTTCCAGATACTGCAAAAGGAGTGTTTCAGGACTGCTCTATGAAAGGGAGTGTTCAACTTTTGACTTGAATGCAAACATCAGAAAGCAGTTTCTCAGAACGCTGCAGTCTGCAATTTGTATGAATTCCCGCTTCCAACGAAATCCTCAAAACTAGCCAAATATCCACTTGCAGATTCCACAAAAAGAGCGTTTCAAAACTTCTCTATGAAAAGAAAGGTTCTACTCCTTTAGTTGAGGACACACAATACGAGTAAGTTTCTGAGAATGCTTCTGTCCAGTTTTTATGGGAAGATATTTCCTTTTTCACCTTAGCCCTGAAAGCGCTCCAAAAGTCCAGTTCCAGATACTACAAAAGGAGTGTTTCAGGACTGCTCTATGAAAGGGAGTGTTCAACTTTTGACTTGAATGCAAACATCAGAAAGCAGTTTCTCAGAACGCTGCTGTGTGCTTTTTATATGTATTCCCGCTTCCAGCGAAATCCCCAAAGCTAGCCAAATATCCACTTGCAGATTCCAGAAAAAGAGTGTTTCAAAACTGCTCCTTCAAAACGGTGGTTCAATTCTCTTAGTTGAGTACACACATCTCAAATAAGTTTCTGAGAATGCTTCTGTCTAGTTGTTATGGGAAGATATTTCCTTTTCCAAAATAGGCCTGAAAGCGCTCCAAATGTCCACTTCCAGATACTACAAAAGGAGTGATTCCAACCTGCTCTATGATAGGGAATGTTCAACTCTGTGTCCTGAATACAAACATCACAAAGATGTTTCTCAGAACGCTGCAGTCTGCAATTTGTATGAATTCCCGCTTCCAACGAAATCCTCCAAACTAGCCAAATATCCACTTGCAGATTCCACAAAAAGAGCGTTTCAAAACTTCTCTATGAAAACAAAGGTTCTACTCCTTTAGTTGAGGACACACATCACGAGTAAGTTTCTGAGAATGCTTCTGTCTAGTTTTTATGGGAAGATATTCCCTTTTTCACCTTAGGCCGGAAAGTGCTCCAAATGTCCACTTCCAGATACTACAAAAAAAGTGTTTCAAACCTGCTCTACCAAAGGGAATGTTCTGCTCTGTGACTTGAATGCAAACATCCCAAAGAAGTTTCTGAGAATGCTTCTGTCTAGATTTTACCTGAAGACAATCCCGTTTCCCACGAAATCCTCAAAGCTATGCAAATATCCTCTTGCAGATTCTACAAAAAGAGTGTTTCAAAACTGCTCTATGAAAAGAAAGGTTCAACTCTGTCAGTAGAGGGCACACATCACAAACAAGTTTCTGAGAATGCTTGTGTCTACTTGTTATGGGAAGATATTTCCTTTTTCAACATAGGCCTGAAAGCGCTCCAAATGTCCACTTCCAGATACTACAAAAGGAGTGATTCCAACCTGCTCTATGATAGGGAATGTTCAACTCTGTGTCCTGAATACAAACATCACAAAGATGTTTCTCAGAACGCTGCAGTCTGCAATTTGTATGAATTCCCGCTTCCAACGAAATCCTCAAAACTAGCCAAATATCCACTTGCAGATTCCACAAAAAGACCATTTCAAAACTGCTCTATCAAAAGAAAGGTTCAACTTTGTTAGTTGAGTAGATACAGCATAAACAAGTTTCTGAGAATGCTTCTGTCCAGTTTTTATGGGAAGATATTTCCTTTTTCACCTTAGCCCTGAAATCGCTCCAAAAGTCCAGTTCCAGATACTACAAAAGGGGTGTTTCAAGACTGCTCTATGAAAGGGAGTGTTCAACTTTTGACTTGAATGCAAACATCAGAAAGCAGTTTCTCAGAACGCTGCTGTGTGCTTTTTATATGTATTCCCGCTTCCAGCGAAATCCCCAAAGCTAGCCAAATATCCACTTGCAGATTCCAGAAAAAGAGAGTTTCAAAACTGCTCCTTCAAAACGGTGGTTCAATTCTCTTAGTTGAGTACACACATCTCAAATAAGTTTCTGAGAATGCTTCTGTCTAGTTGTTATGGGAAGATATTTCCTTTTCCAACATAGGCCTGAAAGCGCTCCAAATGTCCACTTCCAGATACTACAAAAGGAGTGATTCCAACCTGCTCTATGATAGGGAATGTTCAACTCTGTGTCCTGAATACAAACATCACAAAGATGTTTCTCAGAACGCTGCAGTCTGCAATTTGTATGAATTCCCGCTTCCAACGAAATCCTCAAAACTAGCCAAATATCCACTTGCAGATTCCACAAAAAGAGCGTTTCAAAACTTCTCTATGAAAAGAAAGGTTCTACTCCTTTAGTTGAGGACACACATCACGAGTAAGTTTCTGAGAATGCTTCTGTCTAGTTTTTATGGGAAGATATTTCCTTTTTCACCTTAGGCCGGTAAGTGCTCCAAATGTCCACTTACACACACTACAAAAAGAGTGTTTCAAACCTGCTCTGTGAAAGGGAATGTTCAATTCTGTGACTTGAATGCAATCATCACAAAGAACTTTCTGAGAATGCTGCTGACTGCTTTTTATATGTAATCCCGTTTCCAACGAAATCCTCAAATCTAGCCAAATAGCCACTTGCAGATTCCACAAAAAGAGTGTTTCAAAACTGTTCTGTCTAAAGAAATGTTCAACTGTGTTAGTTGAGGACACACATCAGAAACTAGTTTCTGAGAATGCTTCTGTCTAGTTGTTATGGGAAGATATTTCCTTTTCCAACGTAGGCCTGAAAGCGCTCCAAATGTCCACTTCCATATACTAAAAAAAGAGTGTTTCAAACCTGCTCTACCAAAGGGAATGTTCTACTCTGTGACTTGAATGCAAACATCCCAAAGAAGTTTCTGAGAATGCTTCTGTCTAGATTTTCTCTGAAGACAATCCCGTTTCCAACGAAATCCTCAAGGCTAGGCAAATATACTCTTGCAGATTCCAGAAAAAGAGTGTTTCAAAACTGCTCCTTCAAAACGGTGGTTCAATTCTCTTAGTTGAGTACACACATCTCAAATAAGTTTCTGAGAATGCTTCTGCCTAGTTGTTACGGGAAGATATTTCCTTTTCCAACATGGGCCTGAAAGCGCTCCAAATGTCCACTTCCAGATACTACAAAAAGAGTGTTTCAAACCTGCTCTACCAAAGGGAATGTTCTACTCTGTGACTTGAATGCAAACATCCCAAAGAAGTTTCTGAGAATGCTTCTGTCTAGATTTTACCTGAAGACAATCCCGTTTCCCACGAAATCCTCAAAGCTATGCAAATATCCTCTTGCAGATTCTACAAAAAGAGTGTTTCAAAACTGCTCTATGAAAAGAAAGGTTCAACTCTGTCAGTAGAGGGCACACATCACAAACAAGTTTCTGAGAATGCTTGTGTCTAGTTGTTATGGGAAGATATTTCCTTTTTCAACATAGGCCTGAAAGCGCTCGAAATGTCCACTTCCAGATACTACAAAAGGAGTGATTCCAACCTGCTCTATGATAGGGAATGTTCAACTCTGTGTCCTGAATACAAACATCACAAAGATGTTTCTCAGAAAGCTGCAGTCTGCAATTTGTATGAATTCCCGCTTCCAGCGAAATCCTCAAAACTAGCCAAATATCCACTTGCAGATTCCACAAAAAGAGCATTTCAAAACTGCTCTATCAAAAGAAAGGTTCAACTTTGTTAGTTGAGTAGATACAGCATAAACAAGTTTCTGAGAATGCTTCTGTCCAGTTTTTATGGGAAGATATTTCCTTTTTCACCTTAGCCCTGAAAGCGCTCCAAAAGTCCAGTTCCAGATACTACAAAAGGAGTGTTTCAGGACTGCTCTATGAAAGGGAGTGTTCAACTTTTGACTTGAATGCAAACATCAGAAAGCAGTTTCTCAGAACGCTGCTGTGTGCTTTTTATATGTATTCCCGCTTCCAGCGAAATCCCCAAAGCTAGCCAAATATCCACTTGCAGATTCCAGAAAAAGAGTGTTTCAAAACTGCTCCTTCAAAACGGTGGTTCAATTCTCTTAGTTGAGTACACACATCTCAAATAAGTTTCTGAGAATGCTTCTGTCTAGTTGTTATGGGAAGATATTTCCTTTTCCAACATAGGCTTGAAAGCGCTCCAAATGTCCACTTCCAGATACTACAAAAGGAGTGATTCAAACCTGCTCTATGATAGGGAATGTTCAACTCTGTGTCCTGAATACAAACATCACAAAGATGTTTCTCAGAAAGCTGCAGTCTGCAATTTGTATGAATTCCCGCTTCCAACGAAATCCTCCAAACTAGCCAAATATCCACTTGCAGATTCCACAAAAAGAGCGTTTCAAAACTTCTCTATGAAAAGAAAGGTTCTACTCCTTTAGTTGAGGACACACATCACGAGTAAGTTTCTGAGAATGCTTCTGTCTAGTTTTTATGGGAAGATATTTCCTTTTTCACCTTAGGCCGGAAAGTGCTCCAAATGTCCACTTACACACACTACAAAAAGAGTGTTTCAAACCTGCTCTGTGAAAGGGAATGTTCAATTCTGTGACTTGAATGCAATCATCACAAAGAAGTTTCTGAGAATGCTGCTGTCTGCTTTTTATATGTAATCCCGTTTCCAACGAAATCCTCAAATCTAGCCAAATAGCCACTTGCAGATTCCACAAAAAGAGTGTTTCAAAACTGTTCTGTCTAAAGAAATGTTCAACTGTGTTAGTTGAGGACACACATCAGAAACTAGTTTCTGAGAATGCTTCTGTCTAGTTGTTATGGGAAGATATTTCCTTTTCCAACGTAGGCCTGAAAGCGCTCCAAATGTCCACTTCCATATACTAAAAAAAGAGTGTTTCAAACCTGCTCTACCAAAGGGAATGTTCTACTCTGTGACTTGAATGCAAACATCCCAAAGAAGTTTCTGAGAATGCTTCTGTCTAGATTTGATCTGAAGACAATCCCGTTTCCAACGAAATCCTCAAGGCTAGGCAAATATCCTCTTGCAGATTCCAGAAAAAGAGTGTTTCAAAACTGCTCCTTCAAAACGGTGGTTCAATTCTCTTAGTTGAGTACACACATCTCAAATAAGTTTCTGAGAATGCTTCTGCCTAGTTGTTACGGGAAGATATTTCCCTTTCCAACATAGGCCTGAAAGCGCTCCAAATGTCCACTTCCAGATACTACAAAAAGAGTGTTTCAAACCTGCTCTACCAAAGGGAATGTTCTACTCTGTGACTTGAATGCAAACATCCCAAAGAAGTTTCTGAGAATGCTTCTGTCTAGATTTTACCTGAAGACAATCCCGTTTCCCCCGAAATCCTCAAAGCTATGCAAATATCCTCTTGCGGATTCTACAAAAAGAGTGTTTCAAAACTGCTCTATGAAAAGAAAGGTTCAACTCTGTCAGTAGAGGGCACACATCACAAACAAGTTTCTGAGAATGCTTGTGTCTAGTTGTTATGGGAAGATATTTCCTTTTTCAACATAGGACTGAAAGCGCTCCAAATGTCCACTTCCAGATACTACAAAAGGAGTGATTCCAACATGCTCTATGATAGGGAATGTTCATCTCTGTGTCTTGAATACAAACATCACAAAGATGTTTCTCAGAACGCTGCAGTCTGCAATTTGTATGAATTCCCGCTTCCAACAAAATCCTCAAAACTAGCCAAATATCCACTTGCAGATTCCACAAAAAGAGCGTTTCAAAACTTCTCTATGAAAAGAAAGGTTCTACTCCTTTAGTTGAGGACACACATCACGAGTAAGTTTCTGAGAATGCTTCTGTCTAGTTTTTATGGGAAGATATTTCCTTGTTCACCTTAGGCCGGAAAGCGCTCCAAATGTCCACTTACACACACTACAAAAAGAGTGTTTCAAACCTGCTCTGTGAAACGGAATGTTCAATTCTGTGACTTGAATGCAATCATCACAAAGAAGTTTCTGAGAATGCTGCTGTCTGCTTTTTATATGTAATCCCGTTTCCAACGAAATCCTCAAATCTAGCCAAATATCCACTTGCAGATTCCACAAAGAGAGTGTTTCAAAACTGTTCTGTCTAAAGAAAAGTTCAACTGTGTTAGTTGAGGACACACATCAGAAACTAGTTTCTGAGAATGCTTCTGTCTAGTTGTTATGGGAAGATATTTCCTTTTCCAACGTAGGCCTGAAAGCGCTCCAAATGTCCACTTCCATATACTAAAAAAAGAGTGTTTCAAACCTGCTCTACCAAAGGGAATGTTCTACTCTGTGACTTGAATGCAAACATCCCAAAGAAGTTTCTGAGAATGCTTCTGTCTAGATTTTATCTGAAGACAATCCCGTTTCCAACGAAATCCTCAAGGCTAGGCAAATATCCTCTTGCAGATTCCAGAAAAAGAGTGTTTCAAAACTGCTCCTTCAAAACGGTGGTTCAATTCTCTTAGTTGAGTACACACATCTCAAATAAGTTTCTGAGAATGCTTCTGCCTAGTTGTTACAGGAAGATATTTCCCTTTCCAACATGGGCCTGAATGCGCTCAAAATGTCCACTTCCAGATACTACAAAAAGACGGTTTCAAACCTGCTCTACCAAAGGGAATGTTCTACTCTGTGACTTGAATGCAAACATCCCAAAGAAGTTTCTGAGAATGCTTCTGTCTAGATTTTACCTGAAGACAATCCCGTTTCCCACGAAATCCTCAAAGCTATGCAAATATCCTCTTGCAGATTCTACAAAAAGAGTGTTTCAAAACTGCTCTATGAAAAGAAAGGTTCAACTCTGTCAGTAGAGGGCACACATCACAAACAAGTTTCTGAGAATGCTTCTGCATAGTTGTTACGGGAAGATATTTCCCTTTCCAAAATAGGCCTGAAAGCGCTCCAAATGTCCACTTCCAGATACTACAAAAGGAGTGATTCCAACCTGCTCTATGATAGGGAATGTTCAACTCTGTGTCCTGAATACAAACATCACAAAGATGTTTCTCAGAACGCTGCAGTCTGCAATTTGTATGAATTCCCGCTTCCAACGAAATCCTCAAAACTAGCCAAATATCCACTTGCAGATTCCACAAAAAGACCATTTCAAAACTGCTCTATCAAAAGAAAGGTTCAACTTTGTTAGTTGAGTAGATACAGCATAAACAAGTTTCTGAGAATGCTTCTGTCCAGTTTTTATGGGAAGATATTTCCTTTCTCACCTTAGCCCTGAAAGCGCTCCAAAAGTCCAGTTCCAGATACTACAAAAGGAGTGTTTCAGGACTGCACTATGAAAGGGAGTGTTCAACTTTTGACTTGAATGCAAACATCAGAAAGCAGTTTCTCAGAACGCTGCTGTGTGCTTTTTATATGTATTCCCGCTTCCAGCGAAATCCCCAAAGCTAGCCAAATATCCACTTGCAGATTCCAGGAAAAGAGTGTTTCAAAACTGCTCCTTCAAAACGGTGGTTCAATTCTCTTAGTTGAGTACACACATCTCAAATAAGTTTCTGAGAATGCTTCTGTCTAGTTGTTATGGGAAGATATTTCCTTTTCCAACATAGGCCTGAAAGCGCTCCAAATGTCCACTTCCAGATACTACAAAAGGAGTGATTCAAACCTGCTCTATGATAGGGAATGTTCAACTCTGTGTCCTGAATACAAACATCACAAAGATGTTTCTCAGAACGCTGCAGTCTGCAATTTGTATGAATTCCCGCTTCCAACGAAATCCTCAAAACTAGCCAAATATCCACTTGCAGATTCCACAAAAAGAGCGTTTCAAAACTTCTCTATGAAAAGGAAGGTTCTACTCCTTTAGTTGAGGACACACATCACGAGTAAGTTTCTGAGAATGCTTCTGTCTAGTTTTTATGGGAAGATATTTCCTTTTTCACCTTAGGCCGGAAAGTGCTCCAAATGTCCACTTACACACACTACAAAAAGAGTGTTTCAAACCTGCTCTGTGAAAGGGAATGTTCAATTCTGTGACTTGAATGCAATCATCACAAAGAACTTTCTGAGAATGCTGCTGTCTGCTTTTTATATGTAATCCCGTTTCCAACGAAATCCTCAAATCTAGCCAAATAGCCACTTGCAGATTCCACAAAAAGAGTGTTTCAAAACTTCTCTATGAAAAGAAATGTTCTACTCCTTTAGTTGAGGACACACATCACGAGTAAGTTTCTGAGAATGCTTCTGTCTAGTTTTTATGGGAAGATATTTCCTTTTTCACCTTAGGCCGGAAAGTGCTCCAAATGTCCACTTACACACACTACAAAAAGAGTGTTTCAAACCTGCTCTGTGAAAGGGAATGTTCAATTCTGTGACTTGAATGCAATCATCACAAAGAACTTTCTGAGAATGCTGCTGTCTGCTTTTTATATGTAATCCCGTTTCCAACGAAATCCTCAAATCTAGCCAAATAGCCACTTGCAGATTCCACAAAAAGAGTGTTTCAAAACTGTTCTGTCTAAAGAAATGTTCAACTGTGTTAGTTGAGGACACACATCAGAAACTAGTTTCTGAGAATGCTTCTGTCTAGTTGTTATGGGAAGATATTTCCTTTTCCAACGTAGGCCTGAAAGCGCTCCAAATGTACACTTCCATATACTAAAAAAAGAGTGTTTCAAACCTGCTCTACCAAAGGGAATGTTCTACTCTGTGACTTGAATGCAAACATCCCAAAGAAGTTTCTGAGAATGCTTCTGTCTAGATTTGATCTGAAGACAATCCCGTTTCCAACGAAATCCTCAAGGCTAGGCAAATATCCTCTTGCAGATTCCAGAAAAAGAGTGTTTCAAAACTGCTCCTTCAAAACGGTGATTCAATTCTCTTAGTTGAGTACACACATCTCAAATAAGTTTCTGAGAATGCTTCTGCCTAGTTGTTACGGGAAGATATTTCCCTTTCCAACATAGGCCTGAAAGCGCTCCAAATGTCCACTTCCAAATACTACAAAAAGAGTGTTTCAAACCTACTCTACCAAAGGGAATGTTCTACTCTGTGACTTGAATGCAAACATCCCAAAGAAGTTTCTGAGAATGCTTCTGTCTAGATTTTACCTGAAGACAATCCCGTTTCCCACGTAATCCTCAAAGCTATGCAAATATCCTCTTGCAGATTCTACAAAAAGAGTGTTTCAAAACTGCTCTATGAAAAGAAAGGTTCAACTCTATCAGTAGAGGGCACACATCACAAACAAGTTTCTGAGAATGCTTGTGTCTAGTTGTTATGGGAAGATATTTCCTTTTTCAACATAGGCCTGAAAGCGCTCCAAATGTCCACTTCCAGATACTACAAAAGGAGTGATTCCAACCTGCTCTATGATAGGGAATGTTCAACTCTCTGTCCTGAATACAAACATCACAAAGATGTTTCTCAGAACGCTGCAGTCTGCAATTTGTATGAATTCCCGCTTCCAACCAAATCCTCAAAACTAGCCAAATATCCACTTGCAGATTCCACAAAAAGAGCATTTCAAAACTGCTCTATCAAAAGAAAGGTTCAACTTTGTTAGTTGAGTAGATACAGCATAAACAAGTTTCTGAGAATGCTTCTGTCCAGTTTTTATGGGAAGATATTTCCTTTTTCACCTTAGCCCTGAAAGCGCTCCAAAAGTCCAGTTCCAGATACTACAAAAGGAGTGTTTCAGGACTGCTCTATGAAAGGGAGTGTTCAACTTTTGACTTGAATGCAAACATCAGAAAGCAGTTTCTCAGAACGCTGCTGTGTGCTTTTTATATGTATTCCCGCTTCCAGCGAAATCCCCAAAGCTAGCCAAATATCCACTTGCAGATTCCAGAAAAAGAGTGTTTCAAAACTGCTCCTTCAAAACGGTGATTCAATTCTCTTAGTTGAGTACACCCATCTCAAATAAGTTTCTGAGAATGCTTCTGTCTAGTTGTTATGGGAAGATATTTCCTTTTCCAACATAGGCCTGAAAGCGCTCCAAATGTCCACTTCCAGATACTACAAAAGGAATGATTCAAACCTGCTCTATGATAGGGAATGTTCAACTCTGTGTCCTGAATACAAACATCACAAAGATGTTTCTCAGAACGCTGCAGTCTGCAATTTGTATGAATTCCCGCTTCCAACGAAATCCTCAAAACTAGCCAAATATCCACTTGCAGATTCCACAAAAAGAGCGTTTCAAAACTTCTCTATGAAAAGAAAGGTTCTACTCCTTTAGTTGAGGACACACATCACGAGTAAGTTTCTGAGAATGCTTCTGTCTAGTTTTTATGGGAAGATATTTCCTTTTTCACCTTAGGCCGGAAAGTGCTCCAAATGTCCACTTACACACACTACAAAAAGAGTGTTTCAAACCTGTTCTGTGAAAGGGAATGTTCAATTCTGTGACTTGAATGCAATCATCACAAAGAACTTTCTGAGAATGCTGCTGTCTGCTTTTTATATGTAATCCCGTTTCCAACGAAATCCTCAAATCTAGCCAAATAGCCACTTGCAGATTCCACAAAAAGAGTGTTTCAAAACTGTTCTGTCTAAAGAAATGTTCAACTGTGTTAGTTGAGGACACACATCAGAAACTAGTTTCTGAGAATGCTTCTGTCTAGTTGTTATGGGAAGATATTTCCTTTTCCAACGTAGGCCTGAAAGCGCTCCAAATGTCCACTTCCATATACTAAAAAAAGAGTGTTTCAAACCTGCTCTACCAAAGGGAATGTTCTACTCTGTGACTTGAATGCAAACATCCCAAAGAAGTTTCTGAGAATGCTTCTGTCTAGATTTTATCTGAAGACAATCCCGTTTCCAACGAAATCCTCAAGGCTAGGCAAATATACTCTTGCAGATTCCAGAAAAAGAGGGTTTCAAAACTGCTCCTTCAAAACGGTGGTTCAATTCTCTTCGTTGAGTACACACATCTCAAATAAGTTTCTGAGAATGCTTCTGCCTAGTTGTTACGGGAAGATATTTCCCTTTCCAACATGGGCCTGAAAGCGCTCCAAATGTCCACTTCCAGATACTACAAAAAGAGTGTTTCAAACCTGCTCTACCAAAGGGAATGTTCTACTCTGTGACTTGAATGCAAACATCCCAAAGAAGTTTCTGAGAATGCTTCTGTCTAGATTTTACCTGAAGACAATCCCGTTTCCCACGAAATCCTCAAAGCTATGCAAATATCCTCTTGCGGATTCTACAAAAAGAGTGTTTCAAAACTGCTCTATGAAAAGAAAGGTTCAACTCTGTCAGTAGAGGGCACACATCACAAACAAGTTTCTGAGAATGCTTGTGTCTAGTTGTTATGGGAAGATATTTCCTTTTTCAACATAGGCCTGAAAGCGCTCCAAATGTCCACTTCCAGATACTACAAAAGGAGTGATTCCAACATGCTCTATGATAGGGAATGTTCATCTCTGTGTCTTGAATACAAACATCACAAAGATGTTTCTCAGAACGCTGCAGTCTGCAATTTGTATGAATTCCCGCTTCCAACGAAATCCTCAAAACTAGCCAAATATCCACTTGCAGATTCCACAAAAAGAGCATTTCAAAACTGCTCTATCAAAAGAAAGGTTCAACTTTGTTAGTTGAGTAGATACAGCATAAACAAGTTTCTGAGAATGCTTCTGTCCAGTTTTTATGGGAAGATATTTCCTTTTTCACCTTAGCCCTGAAGGCGCTCCAAATGTCCAGTTCCAGATACTACAAAAGGGGTGTTTCAAGACTGCTCTATGAAAGGGAGTGTTCAACTTTTGACTTGAATGCAAACATCAGAAAGCAGTTTCTCAGAACGCTGCTGTGTGCTTTTTATATGTATTCCCGCTTCCAGCGAAATCCCCAAAGCTAGCCAAATATCCACTTGCAGATTCCAGAAAAAGAGTGTTTCCAAACTGCTCCTTCAAAACGGTGGTTCAATTCTCATAGTTGAGTACACACATCTCAAATAAGTTTTTGGGAATGCTTGTGTCTAGTTGTTATGGGAAGATATTTCCTTTTTCAACATAGGCCTGAAAGCGCTCCAAATGTTCACTTCCAGATACTACAAAAGGAGTGATTCCAACCTGCTCTATGATAGGGAATGTTCATCTCTGTGTCCTGAATACAAACATCACAAAGATGTTTCTCAGAACGCTGCAGTCTGCAATTTGTATGAATTCCCGCTTCCAACGAAATCCTCAAAACTAGCCAAATATCCACTTGCAGATTCCACAAAAAGAGCGTTTCAAAACTTCTCTATGAAAAGGAAGGTTCTACTCCTTTAGTTGAGGACACACATCACGAGTAAGTTTCTGAGAATGCTTCTGTCTAGTTTTTATGGGAAGATATTTCCTTTTTCACCTTAGGCCGGAAAGTGCTCCAAATGTCCACTTACACACACTACAAAAAGAGTGTTTCAAACCTGCTCTGTGAAAGGGAATGTTCAATTCTGTGACTTGAATGCAATCATCACAAAGAACTTTCTGAGAATGCTGCTGTCTGCTTTTTATATGTAATCCCGTTTCCAACGAAATCCTCAAATCTAGCCAAATAGCCACTTGCAGATTCCACAAAAAGAGAGTTTCAAAACTGTTCTGTCTAAAGAAATGTTCAACTGTGTTAGTTGAGGACACACATCAGAAACTACTTTCTGAGAATGCTTCTGTCTAGTTGTTATGGGAAGATATTTCCTTTTCCAACGTAGGCCTGAAAGCGCTCCAAATGTCCACTTCCATATACTAAAAAAAGAGTGTTTCAAACCTGCTCTACCAAAGGGAATGTTCTACTCTGTGACTTGAATGCAAACATCCCAAAGAAGTTTCTGAGAATGCTTCTGTCTAGATTTTATCTGAAGACAATCCCGTTTCCAACGAAATCCTCAAGGCTAGGCAAATATACTCTTGCAGATTCCAGAAAAAGAGTGTTTCAAAACTGCACCTTCAAAACGGTGGTTCAATTCTCTTAGTTGAGTACACACATCTCAAATAAGTTTCTGAGAATGCTTCTGCCTAGTTGTTACGGGAAGATATTTCCCTTTCCAACATGGGCCTGATAGCGCTCCGAATGTCCACTTCCAGATACTACAAAAAGAGGGTTTCAAACCTGCTCTACCAAAGGGAATGTTCTACTCTGTGACTTGAATGCAAACATCCCAAAGAAGTTTCTGAGAATGCTTCTGTCTAGATTTTACCTGAAGACAATCCCGTTTCCCACGAAATCCTCAAAGCTATGCAAATATCCTCTTGCAGATTCTACAAAAAGAGTGTTTCAAAACTGCTCTATGAAAAGAAAGGTTCAACTCTGTCAGTAGAGGGCACACATCACAAACAAGTTTCTGAGAATGCTTGTGTCTAGTTGTTATGGGAAGATATTTCCTTTTTCAACATAGGCCTGAAAGCGCTCCAAATGTCCACTTCCAGATACTACAAAAGGAGTGATTCCAACCTGCTCTATGATAGGGAATGTTCAACTCTCTGTCCTGAATACAAACATCACAAAGATGTTTCTCAGAACGCTGCAGTCTGCAATTTGTATGAATTCCCGCTTCCAACGAAATCCTCAAACCTAGCCAAATATGCACTTGCAGATTCCACAAAAAGAGGATTTCAAAACTGCTCTATCAAAAGAAAGGTTCAACTTTGTTAGTTGAGTAGATACAGCATAAACAAGTTTCTGAGAATGCTTCTGTCCAGTTTTTATGGGAAGATATTTCCTTTTTCACCTTAGCCCTGAAAGCGCTCCAAAAGTCCAGTTCCAGATACTACAAAAGGAGTGTTTCAGGACTGCACTATGAAAGGGAGTGTTCAACTTTTGACTTGAATGCAAACATCAGAAAGCAGTTTCTCAGAACGCTGCTGTGTGCTTTTTATATGTATTCCCGCTTCCAGCGAAATCCCCAAAGCTAGCCAAATATCCACTTGCAGATTCCAGGAAAAGAGTGTTTCAAAACTGCTCCTTCAAAACGGTGGTTCAATTCTCTTAGTTGAGTACACACATCTCAAATAAGTTTCTGAGAATGCTTCTGTCTAGTTGTTATGGGAAGATATTTCCTTTTCCAACATAGGCCTGAAAGCGCTCCAAATGTCCACTTCCAGATACTACAAAAGGAGTGATTCAAACCTGCTCTATGATAGGGAATGTTCAACTCTGTGTCCTGAATACAAACATCACAAAGATGTTTCTCAGAACGCTGCAGTCTGCAATTTGTATGAATTCCCGCTTCCAACGAAATCCTCCAAACTAGCCAAATATCCACTTGCAGATTCCACAAAAAGAGCATTTCAAAACTGCTCTATCAAAAGAAAGGTTCAACTTTGTTAGTTGAGTAGATACAGCATAAACAAGTTTCTGAGAATGCTTCTGTCCAGTTTTTATGGGAAGATATTTCCTTTTTCACCTTAGCCCTGAAAGCGCTCCAAAAGTCCAGTTCCAGATACTACAAAAGGAGTGTTTCAGGACTGCTCTATGAAAGGGAGTGTTCAACTTTTGACTTGAATGCAAACATCAGAAAGCAGTTTCTCAGAACGCTGCTGTGTGCTTTTTATATGTATTCCCGCTTCCAGCGAAATCCCCAAAGCTAGCCAAATATCCACTTGCAGATTCCAGAAAAAGAGTGTTTCAAAACTGCTCCTTCAAAACGGTGGTTCAATTCTCTTAGTTGAGTACACACATCTCAAATAAGTTTCTGAGAATGCTTCTGTCTAGTTGTTATGGGAAGATATTTCCTTTTCCAACATAGGCCTGAAAGCGCTCCAAATGTCCACTTCCAGATACTACAAAAGGAGTGATTCCAACCTGCTCTATGATAGGGAATGTTCAACTCTGTGTCCTGAATACAAACATCACAAAGATGTTTCTCAGAACGCTGCAGTCTGCAATTTGTATGAATTCCCGCTTCCAACGAAATCCTCCAAACTAGCCAAATATCCACTTGCAGATTCCACAAAAAGAGCGTTTCAAAACTTCTCTATGAAAGAAAGGTTCTACTCCTTTAGTTGAGGACACACATCATGAGTAAGTTTCTGAGAATGCTTCTGTCTAGTTTTTATGGGAAGATATTTCCTTTCTCACCTTAGGCCGGAAAGTGCTCCAAATGTCCACTTACACACACTACAAAAAGAGTGTTTCAAACCTGCTCTGTGAAAGGGAATGTTCAATTCTGTGACTTGAATGCAATCATCACAAAGAACTTTCTGAGAATGCTGCTGTCTGCTTTTTATATGTAATCCCGTTTCCAACGAAATCCTCAAATCTAGCCAAATAGCCACTTGCAGATTCCACAAAAAGAGAGTTTCAAAACTGTTCTGTCTAAAGAAATGTTCAACTGTGTTAGTTGAGGACACACATCAGAAACTAGTTTCTGAGAATGCTTCTGTCTAGTTGTTATGGGAAGATATTTCCTTTTCCAACGTAGGCCTGAAAGCGCTCCAAATGTCCACTTCCATATACTAAAAAAAGAGTGTTTCAAACCTGCTCTACCAAAGGGAATGTTCTACTCTGTGACTTGAATGCAAACATCCCAAAGAAGTTTCTGAGAATGCTTCTGTCTAGATTTGATCTGAAGACAATCCCGTTTCCAACGAAATCCTCAAGGCTAGGCAAATATCCTCTTGCAGATTCCAGAAAAAGAGTGTTTCAAAACTGCTCCTTCAAAACGGTGGTTCAATTCTCTTAGTTGAGTACACACATCTCAAATAAGTTTCTGAGAATGCTTCTGCCTAGTTGTTACGGGAAGATATTTCCCTTTCCAACATAGGCCTGAAAGCGCTCCAAATGTCCACTTCCAGATACTATAAAAAGAGTGTTTCAAACCTGCTCTACCAAAGGGAATGTTCTACTCTGTGACTTGAATGCAAACATCCCAAAGAAGTTTCTGAGAATGCTTCTGTCTAGATTTTACCTGAAGACAATCCCGTTTCCCACGAAATCCTCAAAGCTATGCAAATATCCTCTTGCAGATTCTACAAAAAGAGTGTTTCAAAACTGCTCTATGAAAAGAAAGGTTCAACTCTGTCAGTAGAGGGCACACATCACAAACAAGTTTCTGAGAATGCTTGTGTCTAGTTGTTATGGGAAGATATTTCCTTTTTCAACATAGGCCAGAAAGCGCTCCAAATGTCCACTTCCAGATACTACAAAAGGAGTGATTCCAACCTGCTCTATGATAGGGAATGTTCAACTCTCTGTCCTGAATACAAACATCACAAAGATGTTTCTCAGAACGCTGCAGTCTGCAATTTGTATGAATTCCCGCTTCCAACGAAATCCTCAAAACTAGCCAAATATCCACTTGCAGATTCCACAAAAAGAGCATTTCAAAACTGCTCTATCAAAAGAAAGGTTCAACTTTGTTAGTTGAGTAGATACAGCATAAAAAAGTTTCTGAGAATGCTTCTGTCCAGTTTTTATGGGAAGATATTTCCTTTTTCACCTTAGCCCTGAAATCGCTCCAAAAGTCCAGTTCCAGATACTACAAAAGGGGTGTTTCAGGACTGCTCTATGAAAGGGAGTGTTCAACTTTTGACTTGAATGCAAACATCAGAAAGCAGTTTCTCAGAACGCTGCTGTGTGCTTTTTATATGTATTCCCGCTTCCAGCGAAATCCCCAAAGCTAGCCAAATATCCACTTGCAGATTCCAGAAAAAGAGAGTTTCAAAACTGCTCCTTCAAAACGGTGGTTCAATTCTCTTAGTTGAGTACACACATCTCAAATAAGTTTCTGAGAATGCTTCTGTCTAGTTGTTATGGGAAGATATTTCCTTTTCCAACATAGGCCTGAAAGCGCTCCAAATGTCCACTTCCAGATACTACAAAAGGAGTGATTCAAACCTGCTCTATGATAGGGAATGTTCAACTCTGTGTCCTGAATACAAACATCACAAAGATGTTTCTCAGAACGCTGCAGTCTGCAATTTGTATGAATTCCCGCTTCCAACGAAATCCTCAAAACTAGCCAAATATCCACTTGCAGATTCCACAAAAAGAGCGTTTCAAAACTTCTCTATGAAAAGAAAGGTTCTACTCCTTTAGTTGAGGACACACATCACGAGTAAGTTTCTGAGAATGCTTCTGTCTAGTTTTTATGGGAAGATATGTCCTTTTTCACCTTAGGCCGGAAAGTGCTCCAAATGTCCACTTACACACACTACAAAAAGAGTGTTTCAAACCTGCTCTGTGAAAGGGAATGTTCAATTCTGTGACTTGAATGCAATCATCACAAAGAACTTTCTGAGAATGCTGCTGTCTGCTTTTTATATGTAATCCCGTTTCCAATGAAATCCTCAAATCTAGCCAAATAGCCACTTGCAGATTCCACAAAAAGAGAGTTTCAAAACTGTTCTGTCTAAAGAAATGTTCAACTGTGTTAGTTGAGGACACACATCAGAAACTAGTTTCTGAGAATGCTTTCTGTCTAGTTGTTATGGGAAGATATTTCCTTTTCCAACGTAGGCCTGAAAGCGCTCCAAATGTCCACTTCCATATACTAAAAAAAGAGTGTTTCAAACCTGCTCTAACAAAGGGAATGTTCTACTCTATGAATTGAATGCAAACACCCAAAGAAGTTTCTGAGAATGCTTCTGTCTAGATTTTATCTGAAGACAATCCCGTTTCCAACGAAATCCTCAAAGCTAGGCAAATATACTCTTGCAGATTCCAGAAAAAGAGTGTTTCAAAACTGCTCCTTGAAAAGGGTGGTTCAATTCTCTTAGTTGAGTACACCCATCTCAAATAAGTTTCTGAGAATGCTTCTGCCTAGTTGTTACGGGAAGATATTTCCCTTTCCAACATAGGCCTGAAAGCGCTCCAAATGTCCACTTCCAGATACTACAAAAAGAGTGTTTCAAACCTGCTCTACCAAAGGGAATGTTCTACTCTGTGACTTGAATGCAAACATCCCAAAGAAGTTTCTGAGAATGCTTCTGTCTAGATTTTCTCTGAAGACAATCCCGTTTCCAACGAAATCCTCAAGGCTAGGCAAATATACTCTTGCAGATTCCAGAAAAAGAGTGTTTCAAAACTGCTCCTTCAAAACGGTGGTTCAATTCTCTTAGTTGAGTACACACATCTCAAATAAGTTTCTGAGAATGCTTCTGCCTAGTTGTTACGGGAAGATATTTCCCTTTCCAACATAGGCCTGAAAGCGCTCCAAATGTCCACTTCCAGATACTACAAAAAGAGTGTTTCAAACCTGCTCTACCAAAGGGAATGTTCTACTCTGTGACTTGAATGCAAACATCCCAAAGAAGTTTCTGAGAATGCTTCTGTCTAGATTTTACCTGAAGACAATCCCGTTTCCCACGAAATCCTCAAAGCTATGCAAATATCCTCTTGCAGATTCTACAAAAAGAGTGTTTCAAAACTGCTCTATGAAAAGAAAGGTTCAACTCTGTCAGTAGAGGGCACACATCACAAACAAGTTTCTGAGAATGCTTCTGCATAGTTGTTACGGGAAGATATTTCCCTTTCCAAAATAGGCCTGAAAGCGCTCCAAATGTCCACTTCCAGATACTACAAAAGGAGTGATTCCAACCTGCTCTATGATAGGGAATGTTCAACTCTGTGTCCTGAATACAAACATCACAAAGATGTTTCTCAGAACGCTGCAGTCTGCAATTTGTATGAATTCCCGCTTCCAACGAAATCCTCAAAACTAGCCAAATATCCACTTGCAGATTCCACAAAAAGAGCATTTCAAAACTGCTCTATCAAAAGAAAGGTTCAACTTTGTTAGTTGAGTAGATACAGCATAAACAAGTTTCTGAGAATGCTTCTGTCCAGTTTTTATGGGAAGATATTTCCTTTTTCACCTTAGCCCTGAAAGCGCTCCAAAAGTCCAGTTCCAGATACTACAAAAGGAGTGTTTCAGGACTGCACTATGAAAGGGAGTGTTCAACTTTTGACTTGAATGCAAACATCAGAAAGCAGTTTCTCAGAACGCTGCTGTGTGCTTTTTATATGTATTCCCGCTTCCAGCGAAATCCCCAAAGCTAGCCAAATATCCACTTGCAGATTCCAGAAAAAGAGTGTTTCAAAACTGCTCCTTCAAAACGGTGGTTCAATTCTCTTAGTTGAGTACACACATCTCAAATAAGTTTCTGAGAATGCTTCTGTCTAGTTGTTATGGGAAGATATTTCCTTTTCCAACATAGGCCTGAAAGCGCTCCAAATGTCCACTTCCAGATACTACAAAAGGAGTGATTCCAACCTGCTCTATGATAGGGAATGTTCAACTCTGTGTCCTGAATACAAACATCACAAAGATGTTTCTCAGAACCGCGCAGTCTGCAATTTGTATGAATTCCCGCTTCCAACGAAATCCTCCAAACTAGCCAAATATCCACTTGCAGATTCCACAAAAAGAGCGTTTCAAAACTTCTCTATGAAAAGAAAGGTTCTACTCCTTTAGTTGAGGACACACATCACGAGTAAGTTTCTGAGAATGCTTCTGTCTAGTTTTTATGGGAAGATATTTCCTTGTTCACCTTAGGCCGGAAAGCGCTCCAAATGTCCACTTACACACACTACAAAAAGAGTGTTTCAAACCTGCTCTGTGAAAGGGAATGTTCAATTCTGTGACTTGAATGCAATCATCACAAAGAAGTTTCTGAGAATGCTGCTGTCTGCTTTTTATATGTAATCCCGTTTCCAACGAAATGCTCAAATCTAGCCAAATATCCACTTGCAAATTCCACAAAAAGAGTGTTTCAAAACTGTTCTGTCTAAAGAAATGTTCAACTGTGTTAGTTGAGGACACACATCAGAAACTAGTTTCTGAGAATGCTTCTGTCTAGTTGTTATGGGAAGATATTTCCTTTTCCAACGTAGGCCTGAAAGCGCTCCAAATGTCCACTTCCATATACTAAAAAAAGAGTGTTTCAAACCTGCTCTACCAAAGGGAATGTTCTACTCTGTGACTTGAATGCAAACATCCCAAAGAAGTTTCTGAGAATGCTTCTGTCTAGATTTTATCTGAAGACAATCCCGTTTCCAACGAAATCCTCAAGGCTAGGCAAATATACTCTTGCAGATTCCAGAAAAAGAGTGTTTCAAAACTGCTCCTTCAAAACGGTGGTTCAATTCTCTTAGTTGAGTACACACATCTCAAATAAGTTTCTGAGAATGCTTCTGCCTAGTTGTTACGGGAAGATATTTCCCTTTCCAACATGGGCCTGAAAGCGCTCCAAATGTCCACTTCCAGATACTACAAAAAGAGTGTTTCAAACCTGCTCTACCAAAGGGAATGTTCTACTCTGTGACTTGAATGCAAACATCCCAAAGAAGTTTCTGAGAATGCTTCTGTCTAGATTTTACCTGAAGACAATCCCGTTTCCCACGAAATCCTCAAAGCTATGCAAATATCCTCTTGCAGATTCTACAAAAAGAGTGTTTCAAAACTGCTCTATGAAAAGAAAGGTTCAACTCTGTCAGTAGAGGGCACACATCACAAACAAGTTTCTGAGAATGCTTGTGTCTAGTTGTTATGGGAAGATATTTCCTTTTTCAACATAGGACTGAAAGCGCTCCAAATGTCCACTTCCAGATACTACAAAAGGAGTGATTCCAACCTACTCTATGATAGGGAATGTTCATCTCTGTGTCCTGAATACAAACATCACAAAGATGATTCTCAGAACGCTGCAGTCTGCAATTTGTATGAATTCCCGCTTCCAACGAAATCCTCAAAACTAGCCAAATATCCACTTGGAGATTCCACAAAAAGAGCGTTTCAAAACTTCTCTATGAATAGAAATGTTCTACTCCTTTAGTTGAGGACACACATCACGAGTAAGTTTCTGAGAATGCTTCTGTCTAGTTTTTATGGGAAGATATTTCCTTTTTCACCTTAGGCCGGAAAGCGCTCCAAATGTCCACTTACACACACTACAAAAAGAGTGTTTCAAACCTGCTCTGTGAAAGGGAATGTTCAATTCTGTGACTTGAATGCAAT
Organism: Homo sapiens; assembly: GCF_000001405.40. Classification (NCBI taxonomy): domain Eukaryota; kingdom Metazoa; phylum Chordata; class Mammalia; order Primates; family Hominidae; genus Homo; species Homo sapiens. Next base: position 18,917,877 of record NC_000018.10, on the reverse strand, counting down.
CATCACAAAGAACTTTCTGAGAATGCTGCTGACTGCTTTTTATATGTAATCCCATTTCCAACGAAATCCTCAAATCTAGCCAAATATCCACTTGCAGATTCCACAAAAAGAGTGTTTCAAAACTGTTCTGTCTAAAGAAATGTACAACTGTGTTAGTTGAGGACACACATCAGAAACTAGTTTCTGAGAATGCTTCTGTCTAGTTGTTATGGGAAGATATTTCCTTTTCCAACGTAGGCCTGAAAGCGCTCCAAATGTCCACTTCCATATACTAAAAAAAGAGTGTTTCAAACCTGCTCTACCAAAGGGAATTTTCTACTCTGTGACTTGAATGCAAACATCCCAAAGAAGTTTCTGAGAATGCTTCTGTCTAGATTTTACCTGAAGACAATCCCGTTTCCCACGAAATCCTCAAAGCTATGCAAATATCCTCTTGCAGATTCTACAAAAAGAGTGTTTCAAAACTGCTCTATGAAAAGAAAGGTTCAACTCTGTCAGTAGAGGGCACACATCACAAACAAGTTTCTGAGAATGCTTGTGTCTAGTTGTTATGGGAAGATATTTCCTTTTTCAACATAGGCCTGAAAGCGCTCCAAATGTCCACTTCCAGATACTACAAAAGGAGTGACTCCAACCTGCTCTATGATAGGGAATGTTCAACTCTGTGTCCTGAATACAAACATCACAAAGATGTTTCTCAGAACGCTGCAGTCTGCAATTTGTATGTATTCCAGCTTCCAACGAAATCCTCAAATCTAGCCAAATATCCAATTGCAGATTCCACAAAAAGAGCATTTCAAAACTGCTCTATCAAAAGAAAGGTTCAACTTTTTTAGTAGAGTAGATACAGCATAAACATGTTTCTGAGAATGCTTCTGTCCAGTTTTTATGGGAAGATATTTCCTTTTTCACCTTAGCCCTGAAATCGCTCCAAAAGTCCAGTTCCAGATACTACAAAAGGGGTGTTTCAGGACTGCTCTATGAAAGGGAGTGTTCAACTTTTGACTTGAATGCAAACATCAGAAAGCAGTTTCTCAGAACGCTGCTGTGTGCTTTTTATATGTATTCCCGCTTCCAGCGAAATCCCCAAAGCTAGCCAAATATCCACTTGCAGATTCCAGAAAAAGAGTGTTTCAAAACTGCTCCTTCAAAACGGTGGTACAATTCTCTTAGTTGAGTACACACATCTCAAATAAGTTTCTGAGAATGCTTCTGTCTAGTTGTTATGGGAAGATATTTCCTTTTCCAACATAGGCCTGAAAGCGCTCCAAATGTCCACTTCCAGATCCTACAAAAGGAGTGATTCAAACCTGCTCTATGATAGGGAATGTTCAACTCTGTGTCCTGAATACAAACATCACAAAGATGTTTCTCAGAACGCTGCAGTCTGCAATTTGTATGAATTCCCGCTTCCAACGAAATCCTCAAAACTAGCCAAATATCCACTTGCAGATTCCACAAAAAGAGCGTTTCAAAACTTCTCTATGAAAAGAAAGGTTCTACTCCTTTAGTTGAGGACACACATCACGAGTAAGTTTCTGAGAATGCTTCTGTCTAGTTTTTATGGGAAGATATTTCCTTGTTCACCTTAGGCCGGAAAGCGCTCCAAATGTCCACTTACACACACTAGAAAAAGAGTGTTTCAAACCTGCTCTGTGAAAAGGAATGTTCAATTCTGTGACTTGAATGCAATCATCACAAAGAAGTTTCTGAGAATGCTGCTGTCTGCTTTTTATATGTAATCCCGTTTCCAACGAAATCCTCAAATGTAGCCAAATATCCACTTGCAGATTCCACAAAAAGAGTGTTTCAAAACTGTTCTGTCTAAAGAAATGTTCAACTGTTTTAGTTGAGGACACACATCAGAAACTAGTTTCTGAGAATGCTTCTGTCTAGTTGTTATGGGAAGATATTTCCTTTTCCAACGTAGGCCAGAAAGCGCTCCAAATGTCCACTTACACACACTACAAAAAGAGTGTTTCAAACCTGCTCTACCAAAGGGAATGTTCTACTCTGTGACTTGAATGCAAACATCCCAAAGAAGTTTCTGAGAATGCTTCTGTCTAGATTTTACCTGAAGACAATCCCGTTTCCCACGAAATCCTCAAAGCTAAGCAAATATCCTCTTGCAGATTCTACAAAAAGAGTGTTTCGAAACTGCTCTATGAAAAGAAAGGTTCAACTGTGTCAGTAGAGGGCACACATCACAAACAAGTTTCTGAGAATGCTTCTGCCTAGTTGTTATGGGAAGATATTTCCTTTTTCAACATAGGCCTGAAAGCGCTCCAAATGTCCACTTCCAGATACTACAAAAGGAGTGATTCCAACCTGCTCTATGATAGGGAATGTTCAACTCTGTGTCCTGAATACAAACATCACAAAGATGTTTCTCAGAACGCTGCAGTCTGCAATTTGTATGAATTCCCGCTTCCAACGAAATCCTCAAAACTAGCCAAATATCCACTTGCAGATTCCACAAAAAGAGCATTTCAAAACTGCTCTATCAAAAGAAAGGTTCAACTTTGTTAGTTGAGTAGATACAGCATAAACAAGTTTGCTGAGAATGCTTCTGTCCAGTTTTTATGGGAAGATATTTCCTTTTTCACCTTAGCCCTGAAAGCGCTCCAAATGTCCAGTTCCAGATACTACAAAAGGGGTGTTTCAAGACTGCTCTATGAAAGGGAGTGTTCAACTTTTGACTTGAATGCAAACATCAGAAAGCAGTTTCTCAGAACGCTGCTGTGTGCTTTTTATATGTATTCCCGCTTCCAGCGAAATCCCCAAAGCTAGCCAAATATCCACTTGCAGATTCCAGAAAAAGAGTGTTTCCAAACTGCTCCTTCAAAACGGTGGTTCAATTCTCTTAGTTGAGTACACACATCTCAAATAAGTTTCTGGGAATGCTTCTGTCTAGTTGTTATGGGAAGATATTTCCTTTTCCAACATAGGCCTGAAAGCGCTCCAAATGTCCACTTCCAGATACTACAAAAGGAGTGATTCAAACCTGCTCTATGATAGGGAATGTTCAACTCTGTGTCCTGAATACAAACATCACAAAGATGTTTCTCAGAACGCTGCAGTCTGCAATTTGTATGAATTCCCGCTTCCAACGAAATCCTCAAAACTAGCCAAATATCCACTTGCAGATTCCACAAAAAGACCATTTCAAAACTGCTCTATCAAAAGAAAGGTTCAACTTTGTTAGTTGAGTAGATACAGCATAAACAAGTTTCTGAGAATGCTTCTGTCCAGTTTTTATGGGAAGATATTTCCTTTTTCACCTTAGCCCTGAAATCGCTCCAAAAGTCCAGTTCCAGATACTACAAAAGGGGTGTTTCAAGACTGCTCTATGAAAGGGAGTGTTCAACTTTTGACTTGAATGCAAACATCAGAAAGCAGTTTCTCAGAACGCTGCTGTGTGCTTTTTATATGTATTCCCGCTTCCAGCGAAATCCCCAAAGCTAGCCAAATATCCACTTGCAGATTCCAGAAAAAGAGAGTTTCAAAACTGCTCCTTCAAAACGGTGGTTCAATTCTCTTAGTTGAGTACACACATCTCAAATAAGTTTCTGAGAATGCTTGTGTCTAGTTGTTATGGGAAGATATTTCCTTTTTCAACATAGGCCTGAAAGCGCTCCAAATGTCCACTTCCAGATACTACAAAAGGAGTGATTCCAACCTGCTCTATGATAGGGAATGTTCATCTCTGTGTCCTGAATACAAACATCACAAAGATGTTTCTCAGAACGCTGCAGTCTGCAATTTGTGTGAATTCCCGCTTCCAATGAAATCCTCAAAACTAGCCAAATATCCACTTGGAGATTCCACAAAAAGAGCGTTTCAAAACTTCTCTATGAACAGAAAGGTTCTACTCCTTTAGTTGAGGACACACATCACGAGTAAGTTTCTGAGAATGCTTCTGTCTAGTTTTTATGGGAAGATATTTCCTTTTTCACCTTAGGCCGGAAAGCGCTCCAAATGTCCACTTACACACACTACAAAAAGAGTGTTTCAAACCTGCTCTGTGAAAGGGAATGTTCAATTCTGTGACTTGAATGCAATCATCACAAAGAACTTTCTGAGAATGCTGCTGTCTGCTTTTTATATGTAATCCCGTTTCCAACGAAATCTTCAAATCTAGCCAAATATCCACTTGCAGATTCCACAAAAAGAGTGTTTCAAAACTGTTCTGTGTAAAGAAAAGTTCAACTGTGTTAGTTGAGGACACACATCAGAAACTAGTTTCTGAGAATGCTTCTGTCTAGTTGTTATGGGAAGATATTTCCTTTTCCAACGTAGGCCTGAAAGCGCTCCAAATGTCCACTTCCATATACTAAAAAAAGAGTGTTTCAAACCTGCTCTACCAAAGGGAATGTTCTACTCTGTGACTTGAATGCAAACATCCCAAAGAAGTTTCTGAGAATGCTTCTGTCTAGATTTTATCTGAAGACAATCCCGTTTCCAACGAAATCCTCAAGGCTAGGCAAATATACTCTTGCAGATTCCAGAAAAAGAGTGTTTCAAAACTGCTCCTTCAAAACGGTGGTTCAATTCTCTTAGTTGAGTACACACATCTCAAATAAGTTTCTGAGAATGCTTCTGCCTAGTTGTTACGGGAAGATATTTCCCTTTCCAACATGGGCCTGATAGTGCTCCAAATGTCCACTTCCAGATACTACAAAAAGAGTGTTTCAAACCTGCTCTACCAAAGGGAATGTTCTACTCTGTGACTTGAATGCAAACATCCCAAAAAAGTTTCTGAGAATGCTTCTGTCTAGATTTTACCTGAAGACAATCCCGTTTCCCACGAAATCCTCAAAGCTATGCAAATATCCTCTTGCAGATTCTACAAAAAGAGTGTTTCAAAACTGCTCTATGAAAAGAAAGGTTCAACTCTGTCAGTAGAGGGCACACATCACAAACAAGTTTCTGAGAATGCTTGTGTCTAGTTGTTATGGGAAGATATTTCCTTTTTCAACATAGGCCTGAAAGCGCTCCAAATGTCCACTTCCAGATACTACAAAAGGAGTGATTCCAACCTGCTCTATGATAGGGAATGTTCAACTCTCTGTCCTGAATACAAACATCACAAAGATGTTTCTCAGAACGCTGCAGTCTGCAATTTGTATGAATTCCCGCTTCCAACGAAATCCTCAAAACTAGCCAAATATCCACTTGCAGATTCCACAAAAAGACCATTTCAAAACTGCTCTATCAAAAGAAAGGTTCAACTTTGTTAGTTGAGTAGATACAGCATAAACAAGTTTCTGAGAATGCTTCTGTCCAGTTTTTATGGGAAGATATTTCCTTTTTCACCTTAGCCCTGAAATCGCTCCAAAAGTCCAGTTCCAGATACTACAAAAGGGGTGTTTCAAGACTGCTCTATGAAAGGGAGTGTTCAACTTTTGACTTGAATGCAAACATCAGAAAGCAGTTTCTCAGAACGCTGCTGTGGGCTTTTTATATGTATTCCCGCTTCCAGCGAAATCCCCAAAGCTAGCCAAATATCCACTTGCAGATTCCAGAAAAAGAGAGTTTCAAAACTGCTCCTTCAAAACGGTGGTTCAATTCTCTTAGTTGAGTACACACATCTCAAATAAGTTTCTGAGAATGCTTCTGTCTAGTTGTTATGGGAAGATATTTCCTTTTCCAACATAGGCCTGAAAGCGCTCCAAATGTCCACTTCCAGATACTACAAAAGGAGTGATTCAAACCTGCTCTATGATAGGGAATGTTCAACTCTGTGTCCTGAATACAAACATCACAAAGATGTTTCTCAGAACGCTGCAGTCTGCAATTTGTATGAATTCCCGCTTCCAACGAAATCCTCAAAACTAGCCAAATATCCACTTGCAGATTCCACAAAAAGAGCGTTTCAAAACTTCTCTATGAAAAGAAAGGTTCTACTCCTTTAGTTGAGGACACACATCACGAGTAAGTTTCTGAGAATGCTTCTGTCTAGTTTTTATGGGAAGATTATTTCCTTTTTCACCTTAGGCCGGTAAGTGCTCCAAATGTCCACTTACACACACTACAAAAAGAGTGTTTCAAACCTGCTCTGTGAAAGGGAATGTTCAATTCTGTGACTTGAATGCAATCATCACAAAGAACTTTCTGAGAATGCTGCTGGCTGCTTTTTATATGTAATCCCGTTTCCAACGAAATCCTCAAATCTAGCCAAATAGCCACTTGCAGATTCCACAAAAAGAGTGTTTCAAAACTGTTCTGTCTAAAGAAATGTTCAACTGTGTTAGTTGAGGACACACATCAGAAACTAGTTTCTGAGAATGCTTCTGTCTAGTTGTTATGGGAAGATATTTCCTTTTCCAACGTAGGCCTGAAAGCGCTCCAAATGTCCTTCCATATACTAAAAAAAGAGTGTTTCAAACCTGCTCTACCAAAGGGAATGTTCTACTCTGTGACTTGAATGCAAACATCCCAAAGAAGTTTCTGAGAATGCTTCTGTCTAGATTTGATCTGAAGACAATCCCGTTTCCAACGAAATCCTCAAGGCTAGGCAAATATACTCTAGCAGATTCCAGAAAAAGAGTGTTTCAAAACTGCTCCTTCAAAACGGTGGTTCAATTCTCTTAGTTGAGTACACACATCTCAAATAAGTTTCCTGAGAATGCTTCTGCCTAGTTGTTACGGGAAGATATTTCCCTTTCCAACATAGGCCTGAAAGCACTCCAAATGTCCACTTCCAGATACTACAAAAAGAGTGTTTCAAACCTGCTCTACCAAAGGGAATGTTCTGCTCTGTGACTTGAATGGAAACATCCCAAAGAAGTTTCTGAGAATGCTTCTGTCTAGATTTTACCTGAAGACAATCCCGTTTCCCACGAAATCCTCAAAGCTATGCAAATATCCTCTTGCAGATTCTACAAAAAGAGTGTTTCAAAACTGCTCTATGAAAAGAAAGGTTCAACTCTGTCAGTAGAGGGCACACATCACAAACAAGTTTCTGAGAATGCTTGTGTCTAGTTGTTATGGGAAGATATTTCCTTTTTCAACATAGGCCTGAAAGCGCTCCAAATGTCCACTTCCAGATACTACAAAAGGAGTGATTCCAACCTGCTCTATGATAGGGAATGTTCAACTCTCTGTCCTGAATACAAACATCACAAAGATGTTTCTCAGAACGCTGCAGTCTGCAATTTGTATGAATTCCCGCTTCCAACGAAATCCTCAAAACTAGCCAAATATCCACTTGCAGATTCCACAAAAAGACCATTTCAAAACTGCTCTATCAAAAGAAAGGTTCAACTTTGTTAGTTGAGTAGATACAGCATAAACAAGTTTCTGAGAATGCTTCTGTCCAGTTTTTATGGGAAGATATTTCCTTTTTCACCTTAGCCCTGAAATCGCTCCAAAAGTCCAGTTCCAGATACTACAAAAGGGGTGTTTCAAGACTGCTCTATGAAAGGGAGTGTTCAACTTTTGACTTGAATGCAAACATCAGAAAGCAGTTTCTCAGAACGCTGCTGTGTGCTTTTTATATGTATTCCCGCTTCCAGCGAAATCCCCAAAGCTAGCCAAATATCCACTTGCAGATTCCAGAAAAAGAGTGTTTCAAAACTGCTCCTTCAAAACGGTGGTTCAATTCTCTTAGTTGAGTACACACATCTCAAATAAGTTTCTGAGAATGCTTCTGTCTAGTTGTTTTGGGAAGATATTTCCTTTTCCAACATAGGCCTGAAAGCGCTCCAAATGTCCACTTCCAGATACTACAAAAGGAGTGATTCAAACCTGCTCTATGATAGGGAATGTTCAACTCTGTGTCCTGAATACAAACATCACAAAGATGTTTCTCAGAACGCTGCAGTCTGCAATTTGTATGAATTCCCGCTTCCAACGAAATCCTCAAAACTAGCCAAATATCCACTTGCAGATTCCACAAAAAGAGCGTTTCAAAACTTCTCTATGAAAAGAAAGTTTCTACTCCTTTAGTTGAGTACACACATCACGAGTAAGTTTCTGAGAATGCTTCTGTCTAGTTTTTATGGGAAGATATTTCCTTTTTCACCTTAGGCCGGAAAGCGCTCCAAATGTCCACTTACACACACTACAAAAAGAGTGTTTCAAACCTGCTCTGTGAAAGGGAATGTTCAATTCTGTGACTTGAATGCAATCATCACAAAGAACTTTCTGAGAATGCCGCTGTCTGCTTTTTATATGTAATCCCGTTTCCAACGAAATGCTCAAATCTAGCCAAATATCCACTTGCAAATTCCACAAAAAGAGTGTTTCAAAACTGTTCTGTCTAAAGAAATGTTCAACTGTGTTAGTTCAGGACACACATAAGAAACTAGTTTCTGAGAATGCTTCTGTCTAGTTGTTATGGGAAGATATTTCCTTTTCCAACGTAGGCCTGAAGCGCTCCAAATGTCCACTTCCATATACTAAAAAAAGAGTGTTTCAAACCTGCTCTACCAAAGGGAATGTTCTACTCTGTGACATGAATGCAAACATCCCAAAGAAGTTTCTGAGAATGCTTCTGTCTAGATTTGATCTGAAGACAATCCCTTTTCCAACGAAATCCTCAAAGCTAGGCAAATATCCTCTTGCAGATTCCAGAAAAAGAGTGTTTCCAAACTGCTCCTTCAAAACGGTGGTTCAATTCTCTTAGTTGAGTACACACATCTCAAATAAGTTTCTGAGAATGCTTCTGCGTAGTTGTTACGGGAAGATATTTCCCTTTCCAACATAGGCCTGAAAGCGCAACAAATGTCCACTTCCAGATACTACAAAAAGAGTGTTTCAAACCTGCTCTACCGAAGGGAATGTTCTACTCTGTGACTTGAATGCAAACATCCCGAAGAAGTTTCTGAGAATGCTTCTGTCTAGATTTTACCTGAAGACAATCCCGTTTCCCACGAAATCCTCAGAGCTATGCAAATATCCTCTTGCAGATTCTACAAAAAGAGTGTTTCGAAACTGCTGTATGAAAAGAAAGGTTCAACTCTGTCAGTAGAGGAAACACATCACCAAAAAGTTTCTGAGAATGCTTCTGTCTAGTTGTTATGGGAAGATTTTTCCTTTTCCAACATAGGCCTGAAAGCGCTCCAAATGTCCACTTCCAGATACTACAAAAGGAGTGATCCCAACCTGCTCTATGATAGGGAATGTTCAACTCTGTGTCCTGAATACAAACATCACAAAGATGTTTCTCAGAACGCTGCAGTCTGCAATTTGTATGAATTCCCGCTTCCAGCGAAATCCTCAAAACTAGCCAAATATCCACTTGCAGATTCCACAAAAAGAGCATTTCAAAACTGCTCTATCAAAAGAAAGGTTCAACTTTGTTAGTTGAGTAGATACAGCATAAACAAGTTTCTGAGAATGCTTCTGTCCAGTTTTTATGGGAAGATATTTCCATTTTCACCTTAGCCCTGAAAGCGCTCCAAAAGTCCAGTTCCAGATACTACAAAAGGAGTGTTTCAGGACTGCTCTATGAAAGGGAGTGTTCAACTTTTGACTTGAATGCAAACATCAGAAAGCAGTTTCTCAGAACGCTGCTGTGTGCTTTTTATATGTATTCCCGCCTCCAGCGAAATCCCCAAAGCTAGCCAAATATCCACTTGCAGATTCCAGAAAAAGAGTGTTTCAAAACTGCTCCTTCAAAACGGTGGTTCAATTCTCTTAGTTGAGTACACACATCTCAAATAAGTTTCTGAGAATGCTTCTGTCTAGTTGTTATGGGAAGATATTTCCTTTTCCAACATAGGCCTGAAAGCGCTCCAAATGTCCACTTCCAGATACTACAAAAGGAGTGATTCCAACCTGCTCTATGATAGGGAATGTTCAACTCTGTGTCCTGAATACAAACATCACAAAGATGTTTCTCAGAACGCTGCAGTCTGCAATTTGTATGAATTCCCGCTTCCAACGAAATCCTCCAAACTAGCCAAATATCCACTTGCAGATTCCACAAAAAGAGCGTTTCAAAACTTCTCTATGAAAAGAAAGGTTCTACTCCTTTAGTTGAGGACACACATCACGAGTAAGTTTCTGAGAATGCTTCTGTCTAGTTTTTATGGGAAGATATTTCCTTGTTCACCTTAGGCCGGAAAGCGCTCCAAATGTCCACTTACACACACTACAAAAAGAGTGTTTCAAACCTGCTCTGTGAAAAGGAATGTTCAATTCTGTGACTTGAAGGCAATCATCACAAAGAAGTTTCTGAGAATGCTGCTGTCTGCTTTTTATATGTAATCCCGTTTCCAACGAAATCCTCAAATGTAGCCAAATATCCACTTGCAGATTCCACAAAAAGAGTGTTTCAAAACTGTTCTGTCTAAAGAAATGTTCAACTGTGTTAGTTGAGGACACACATCAGAAACTAGTTTCTGAGAATGCTTCTGTCTAGTTGTTATGGGAAGATATTTCCTTTTCCAACGTAGGCCAGAAAGCGCTCCAAATGTCCACTTACACACACTACAAAAAGAGTGTTTCAAACCTGCTCTACCAAAGGGAATGTTCTACTCTGTGACTTGAATGCAAACATCCCAAAGAAGTTTCTGAGAATGCTTCTGTCTAGATTTGATCTGAAGACAATCCCGTTTCCAACGGAAATCCTCAAAGCTAGGCAAATATACTCTTGCAGATTCCAGAAAAAGAGTGTTTCAAAACTGCTCCTTCAAAAGGGTGGTTCAATTCTCTTAGTTGAGTACACACATCTCAAATAAGTTTCCGAGAATGCTTCTGCCTCGTTGTTACGGGAAGATATTTCCCTTTCCAACATGGGCCTGAAAGCGCTCCAAATGTCCACTTCCAGATACTACAAAAAGAGGGTTTCAAACCTGCTCTACCAAAGGGAATGTTCTACTCTGTGACTTGAATGCAAACATCCCAAAGAAGTTTCTGAGAATGCTTCTGTCTAGATTTTACCTGAAGACAATCCCGTTTCCCACGAAATCCTCAAAGCTATGCAAATATCCTCTTGCAGATTCTACAAAAAGAGTGTTTCAAAACTGCTCTATGAAAAGAAAGGTTCAACTCTGTCAGCAGAGGGCACACATCACAAACAAGTTTCTGAGAATGCTTGTGTCTAGTTGTTATGGGAAGATATTTCCTTTTTCAACATAGGCCTGAAAGCGCTCCAAATGTCCACTTCCAGATACTACAAAAGGAGTGATTCCAACCTGCTCTATGATAGGTAATGTTCATCTCTGTGTCCTGAATACAAACATCACAAAGATGTTTCTCAGAACGCTGCAGTCTGCAATTTGTATGAATTCCCGCATCCAACGAAATCCTCAAAACTAGCCAAATATCCACTTGGAGATTCCACAAAAAGAGCGTTTCAAACCTTCTCTATGAATAGAAAGGTTCTACTCCTTTAGTTGAGGACACACATCACGAGTAAGTTTCTGAGAATGCTTCTGTCTAGTTTTTATGGGAAGATATTTCCTTTTTCACCTTAGGCCGGAAAGTGCTCCAAATGTCCACTTACACACACTACAAAAAGAGTGTTTCAAACCTGCTCTGTGAAAGGGAATGTTCAATTCTGTGACTTGAATGCAATCATCACAAAGAACTTTCTGAGAATGCTGCTGACTGCTTTTTATATGTAATCCCGTTTCCAACGAAATCCTCAAATCTAGCCAAATAGCCACTTGCAGATTCCACAAAAAGAGTGTTTCAAAACTGTTCTGTCTAAAGAAATGTTCAACTCTGTTAGTTGAGGACACACATCAGAAACTAGTTTCTGAGAATGCTTCTGTCTAGTTGTTATGGGAAGATATTTCCTTTTCCAACGTAGGCCTGAAAGCGCTCCAAATGTCCACTTCCAGATACTACAAAAAGAGTGTTTCAAACCTGCTCTACCAAAGGGAATGTTCTACTCTGTGACTTGAATGCAAGCATCCCAAAGAAGTTTCTGAGAATGCTTCTGTCTAGATTTTCTCTGAAGACAATCCCGTTTCCAACGAAATCCTCAAGGCTAGGCAAATATCCTCTTGCAGATTCCAGAAAAAGAGTGTTTCAAAACTGCTCCTTCAAAACGGTGGTTCAATTCTCTTAGTTGAGTACACACATCTCAAATAAGTTTCTGAGAATGCTTCTGCCTAGTTGTTACGGGAAGATATTTCCCTTTCCAACATGGGCCTGAAAGCGCTCCAAATGTCCACTTCCAGATACTACAAAAAGAGTGTTTCAAACCTGCTCTACCAAAGGGAATGTTCTACTCTGTGACTTGAATGCAAACATCCCAAAGAAGTTTCTGAGAATGCTTCTGTCTAGATTTTACCTGAAGACAATCCCGTTTCCCACGAAATCCTCAAAGCTATGCAAATATCCTCTTGCGGATTCTACAAAAAGAGTGTTTCAAAACTGCTCTATGAAAAGAAAGGTTCAACTCTGTCAGTAGAGGGCACACATCACAAACAAGTTTCTGAGAATGCTTGTGTCTAGTTGTTATGGGAAGATATTTCCTTTTTCAACATAGGCCTGAAAGCGCTCCAAATGTCCACTTCCAGATACTACAAAAGGAGTGATTCCAACCTGCTCTATGATAGGGAATGTTCATCTCTGTGTCCTGAATACAAACATCACAAAGATGTTTCTCAGAACGCTGCAGTCTGCAATTTGTATGAATTCCCGCTTCCAACGAAATCCTCAAAACTAGCCAAATATCCACTTGCAGATTCCACAAAAAGACCATTTCAAAACTGCTCTATCAAAAGAAAGGTTCAACTTTGTTAGTTGAGTAGATACAGCATAAACAAGTTTCTGAGAATGCTTCTGTCCAGTTTTTATGGGAAGATATTTCCTTTTTCACCTTAGCCCTGAAATCGCTCCAAAAGTCCAGTTCCAGATACTACAAAAGGGGTGTTTCAAGACTGCTCTATGAAAGGGAGTGTTCAACTTTTGACTTGAATGCAAACATCAGAAAGCAGTTTCTCAGAACGCTGCTGTGTGCTTTTTATATGTATTCCCGCTTCCAGCGAAATCCCCAAAGCTAGCCAAATATCCACTTGCAGATTCCAGAAAAAGAGAGTTTCAAAACTGCTCCTTCAAAACGGTGGTTCAATTCTCTTAGTTGAGTACACACATCTCAAATAAGTTTCTGAGAATGCTTCTGTCTAGTTGTTTATGGGAAGATATTTCCTTTTCCAACATAGGCCTGAAAGCGCTCCAAATGTCCACTTCCAGATACTACAAAAGGAGTGATTCCAACCTGCTCTATGATAGGGAATGTTCAACTCTGTGTCCTGAATACAAACATCACAAAGATGTTTCTCAGAACGCTGCAGTCTGCAATTTGTATGAATTCCCGCTTCCAACGAAATCCTCAAAACTAGCCAAATATCCACTTGCAGATTCCACAAAAAGACCATTTCAAAACTGCTCTATCAAAAGAAAGGTTCAACTTTGTTAGTTGAGTAGATACAGCATAAACAAGTTTCTGAGAATGCTTCTGTCCAGTTTTTATGGGAAGATATTTCCTTTTTCACCTTAGCCCTGAAATCGCTCCAAAAGTCCAGTTCCAGATACTACAAAAGGGGTGTTTCAAGACTGCTCTATGAAAGGGAGTGTTCAACTTTTGACTTGAATGCAAACATCAGAAAGCAGTTTCTCAGAACGCTGCTGTGTGCTTTTTATATGTATTCCCGCTTCCAGCGAAATCCCCAAAGCTAGCCAAATATCCACTTGCAGATTCCAGAAAAAGAGTGTTTCAAAACTGCTCCTTCAAAACGGTGGTTCAATTCTCTTAGTTGAGTACACACATCTCAAATAAGTTTCTGAGAATGCTTCTGTCTAGTTGTTATGGGAAGATATTTCCTTTTCCAACATAGGCCTGAAAGCGCTCCAAATGTCCACTTCCAGATACTACAAAAGGAGTGATTCAAACCTGCTCTATGATAGGGAATGTTCAACTCTGTGTCCTGAATACAAACATCACAAAGATGTTTCTCAGAACGCTGCAGTCTGCAATTTGTATGAATTCCCGCTTCCAACGAAATCCTCAAAACTAGCCAAATATCCACTTGCAGATTCCACAAAAAGAGCGTTTCAAAACTTCTCTATGAAAAGAAAGGTTCTACTCCTTTAGTTGAGGACACACATCACGAGTAAGTTTGCTGAGAATGCTTATCTGTCTAGTTTTTATGGGAAGATATTTCCTTTTTCACCTTAGGCCGGTAAGTGCTCCAAATGTCCACTTACACACACTACAAAAAGAGTGTTTCAAACCTGCTCTGTGAAAGGGAATGTTCAATTCTGTGACTTGAATGCAATCATCACAAAGAACTTTCTGAGAATGCTGCTGACTGCTTTTTATATGTAATCCCGTTTCTAACGAAATCCTCAAATCTAGCCAAATAGCCACTTGCAGATTCCACAAAAAGAGTGTTTCAAAACTGTTCTGTCTAAAGAAATGTTCAACTGTGTTAGTTGAGGACACACATCAGAAACTAGTTTCTGAGAATGCTTCTGTCTAGTTGTTATGGGAAGATATTTCCTTTTCCAACGTAGGCCTGAAAGCGATCAAAATGTCCACTTCCATATACTAAAAAAAGAGTGTTTCAAACCTGCTCTACCAAAGGGAATGTTCTACTCTGTGACTTGAATGCAAACATCCCAAAGAAGTTTCTGAGAATGCTTCTGTCTAGATTTTCTCTGAAGACAATCCCGTTTCCAACGAAATCCTCAAGGCTAGGCAAATATACTCTTGCAGATTCCAGAAAAAGAGTGTTTCAAAACTGCTCCTTCAAAACGGTGGTTCAATTCTCTTAGTTGAGTACACACATCTCAAATAAGTTTCTGAGAATGCTTCTGCCTAGTTGTTACGGGAAGATATTTCCTTTTCCAACATGGGCCTGAAAGCGCTCCAAATGTCCACTTCCAGATACTACAAAAAGAGTGTTTCAAACCTGCTCTACCAAAGGGAATGTTCTACTCTGTGACTTGAATGCAAACATCCCAAAGAAGTTTCTGAGAATGCTTCTGTCTAGATTTTACCTGAAGACAATCCCTTTTCCCACGAAATCCTCAAAGCTATGCAAATATCCTCTTGCAGATTCTACAAAAAGAGTGTTTCAAAACTGCTCTATGAAAAGAAAGGTTCAACTCTGTCAGTAGAGGGCACACATCACAAACAAGTTTCTGAGAATGCTTCTGCCTAGTTGTTACAGGAAGATATTTCCTTTTCCAACATGGGCCTGAAAGCGCTCCAAATGTCCACTTCCAGATACTACAAAAGGAGTGATTACAACCTGCTCTATGATAGGGAATGTTCAACTCTGTGTCCTGAATACAAACATCACAAAGATGTTTCTCAGAACGCTGCAGTCTGCAATTTGTATGAATTCCCGCTTCCAACGAAATCCTCAAAACTAGCCAAATATCCACTTGCAGATTCCACAAAAAGACCATTTCAAAACTGCTCTATCAAAAGAAAGGTTCAACTTTGTTAGTTGAGTAGATACAGCATAAACAAGTTTCTGAGAATGCTTCTGTCCAGTTTTTATGGGAAGATATTTCCTTTTTCACCTTAGCCCTGAAATCGCTCCAAAAGTCCAGTTCCAGATACTACAAAAGGGGTGTTTCAAGACTGCTCTATGAAAGGGAGTGTTCAACTTTTGACTTGAATGCAAACATCAGAAAGCAGTTTGCTCAGAACGCTGGCTGTGTGCTTTTTATATGTATTCCCGCTTACAGCGAAATCCCCAAAGCTAGCCAAATATCCACTTGCAGATTCCAGAAAAAGAGTGTTTCCAAACTGCTCCTTCAAAACGGTGGTTCAATTCTCATAGTTGAGTACACACATCTCAAATAAGTTTCTGGGAATGCTTCTGTCTAGTTGTTATGGGAAGATATTTCCTTTTCCAACATAGGCCTGAAAGCGCTCCAAATGTCCACTTCCAGATACTACAAAAGGAGTGATTCAAACCTGCTCTATGATAGGGAATGTTCAACTCTGTGTCCTGAATACAAACATCACAAAGATGTTTCTCAGAACGCTGCAGTCTGCATCTTGTATGAATTCCCGCTTCCAACGAAATCCTCCAAACTAGCCAAATATCCACTTGCAGATTCCACAAAAAGAGCGTTTCAAAACTTCTCTATGAAAAGAAAGGTTCTACTCCTTTAGTTGAGGACACACATCACGAGTAAGTTTCTGAGAATGCTTCTGTCTAGTTTTTATGGGAAGATATTTCCTTTTTCACCTTAGGCCGGTAAGTGCTCCAAATGTCCACTTACACACACTACAAAAAGAGTGTTTCAAACCTGCTCTGTGAAAGGGAATGTTCAATTCTGTGACTTGAATGCAATCATCACAAAGAACTTTCTGAGAATGCTGCTGTCTGCTTTTTATATGTAATCCCGTTTCCAACGAAATCCTCAAATCTAGCCAAATATCCACTTGCAAATTCTACAAAAAGAGTGTTTCAAAACTGTTCTGTCTAAAGAAAAGTTCAACTGTGTTAGTTGAGGACACACATCAGAAACTAGTTTCTGAGAATGCTTCTGTCTAGTTGTTATGGGAAGATATTTCCTTTTCCAACGTAGGCCTGAAAGCGCTCCAAATGTCCACTTCCATATACTAAAAAAAGAGTGTTTCAAACCTGCTCTACCAAAGGGAATGTTCTACTCTGTGACTTGAATGCAAACATCCCAAAGAAGTTTCTGAGAATGCTTCTGTCTAGATTTTATCTGAAGAAAATCCCGTTTCCAACGAAATCCTCAAGGCTAGGCAAATATCCTCTTGCAGATTCCAGAAAAAGAGTGTTTCAAAACTGCTCCTTCAAAACGGTGGTTCAATTCTCTTAGTTGAGTACACACATCTCAAATAAGTTTCTGAGAATGCTTCTGCCTAGTTGTTACGGGAAGATATTTCCCTTTCCAACATAGGCCTGAAAGCGCTCCAAATGTCCACTTCCAGATACTACAAAAAGAGTGTTTCAAACCTGCTCTACCAAAGGGAATGTTCTACTCTGTGACTTGAATGCAAACATCCCAAAGAAGTTTCTGAGAATGCTTCTGTCTAGATTTTACCTGAAGACAATCCCGTTTCCCACGAAAACCTCAAAGCTATGCAAATATCCTCTTGCAGATTCTACAAAAAGAGTGTTTCAAAACTGCTCTATGAAAAGAAAGGTTCAACTCTGTCAGTAGAGGGCACACATCACAAACAAGTTTCTGAGAATGCTTGTGTCTAGTTTTTATGGGAAGATATTTCCTTTCTCAACATAGGCCTGAAAGCGCTCCAAATGTCCACTTCCAGATACTACAAAAGGAGTGATTCCAACCTGCTCTATGATAGGGAATGTTCAACTCTGTGTCCTGAATACAAACATCACAAAGATGTTTCTCAGAACGCTGCAGTCTGCAATTTGTACGAATTCCCGCTTCCAACGAAATCCTCAAAACTAGCCAAATATCCACTTGCAGATTCCACAAAAAGAGCATTTCAAAACTGCTCTATCAAAAGAAAGGTTCAACTTTGTTAGTTGAGCAGATACAGCATAAACAAGTTTCTGAGAATGCTTCTGTCCAGTTTTTATGGGAAGATATTTCCTTTTTCACCTTAGCCCTGAAAGCGCTCCAAATTTCCAGTTCCAGATACTACAAAAGGGGTGTTTCAAGACTGCTCTATGAAAGGGAGTGTTCAACTTTTGACTTGAATGCAAACATCAGAAAGCAGTTTCTCAGAACGCTGCTGTGTGCTTTTTATATGTATTCCCGCTTCCAGCGAAATCCCCAAAGCTAGCCAAATATCCACTTGCAGATTCCAGAAAAAGAGTGTTTCAAAACTGCTCCTTCAAAACGGTGGTTCAATTCTCTTAGTTGAGTACACACATCTCAAATAAGTTTCTGAGAATGCTTGTGTCTAGTTGTTATGGGAAGATATTTCCTTTTTCAACATAGGCCTGAAAGCGCTCCAAATGTCCACTTCCAGATACTACAAAAGGAGTGATTCCAACCTGCTCTATGATAGGGAATGTTCATCTCTGTGTCCTGAATACAAACATCACAAAGATGTTTCTCAGAACGCTGCAGTCTGCAATTTGTATGAATTCCCGCTTCCAACGAAATCCTCAAGACTAGCCAAATATCCACTTGGAGATTCCACAAAAAGAGCGTTTCAAAACTTCTCTATGAATAGAAAGGTTCTACTCCTTTAGTTGAGGACACACATCACGAGTAAGTTTCTGAGAATGCTTCTGTCTAGTTTTTATGGGAAGATATTTCCTTTTTCACCTTAGGCCGGTAAGTGCTCCAAATGTCCACTTACACACACTACAAAAAGAGTGTTTCAAACCTGCTCTGTGAAAGGGAATGTTCAATTCTGTGACTTGAATGCAATCATCACAAAGAACTTTCTGAGAATGCTGCTGACTGCTTTTTATATGTAATCCCGTTTCCAACGAAATCCTCAAATCTAGCCAAATAGCCTCTTGCAGATTCCACAAAAAGAGTGTTTCAAAACTGTTCTGTCTAAAGAAATGTTCAACTGTTTTAGTTGAGGACACACATCAGAAACTAGTTTCTGAGAATGCTTCTGTCTAGTTGTTATGGGAAGATATTTCCTTTTCCAACGTAGGCCTGAAAGCGCTCCAAATGTCCACTTCCATATACTAAAAAAAGAGTGTTTCAAACCTGCTCTACCAAAGGGAATGTTCTACTCTGTGACTTGAATGCAAACATCCCAAAGAAGTTTCTGAGAATGCTTCTGTCTAGATTTGATCTGAAGACAATCCCGTTTCCAACGAAATCCTCAAGGCTAGGCAAATATCCTCTTGCAGATTCCAGAAAAAGAGTGTTTCAAAACTGCTCCTTCAAAACGGTGATTCAATTCTCTTAGTTGAGTACACACATCTCAAATAAGTTTCTGAGAATGCTTCTGCCTAGTTGTTACGGGAAGATATTTCCCTTTCCAACATAGGCCTGAAAGCGCTCCAAATGTCCACTTCCAGATACTACAAAAAGAGTGTTTCAAACCTGCTCTACCAAAGGGAATGTTCTACTCTGTGACTTGAATGCAAACATCCCAAAGAAGTTTCTGAGAATGCTTCTGTCTAGATTTTACCTGAAGACAATCCCGTTTCCCACGAAATCCTCAAAGCTATGCAAATATCCTCTTGCAGATTCTACAAAAAGAGTGTTTCAAAACTGCTCTATGAAAAGAAAGGTTCAACTCTGTCAGTAGAGGGCACACATCACAAACAAGTTTCTGAGAATGCTTGTGTCTAGTTGTTATGGGAAGATATTTCCTTTTTCAACATAGGCCTGAAAGCGCTCCAAATGTCCACTTCCAGATACTACAAAAGGAGTGATTCCAACCTGCTCTATGATAGGGAATGTTCAACTCTCTGTCCTGAATACAAACATCACAAAGATGTTTCTCAGAACGCTGCAGTCTGCAATTTGTATGAATTCCCGCTTCCAACGAAATCCTCAAAACTAGCCAAATATCCACTTGCAGATTCCACAAAAAGAGCATTTCAAAACTGCTCTATCAAAAGAAAGGTTCAACTTTGTTAGTTGAGTAGATACAGCATAAACAAGTTTCTGAGAATGTTTCTGTCCAGTTTTTATGGGAAGATATTTCCTTTTTCACCTTAGCCCTGAAAGCGCTCCAAAAGTCCAGTTCCAGATACTACAAAAGGGGTGTTTCAGGACTGCTCTATGAAAGGGAGTGTTCAACTTTTGACTTGAATGCAAACATCAGAAAGCAGTTTCTCAGAACGCTGCTGTGTGCTTTTTATATGTATTCCCGCTTCCAGCGAAATCCCCAAAGCTAGCCAAATATCCACTTGCAGATTCCAGAAAAAGAGTGTTTCAAAACTGCTCCTTCAAAACGGTGGTTCAATTCTCTTAGTTGAGTACACACATCTCAAATAAGTTTCTGAGAATGCTTCTGTCTAGTTGTTATGGGAAGATATTTCCTTTTCCAACATAGGCCTGAAAGCGCTCCAAATGTCCACTTCCAGATACTACAAAAGGAGTGATTCAAACCTGCTCTATGATAGGGAATGTTCAACTCTGTGTCCTGAATACAAACATCACAAAGATGTTTCTCAGAACGCTGCAGTCTGCAATTTGTATGAATTCCCGCTTCCAACGAAATCCTCAAAACTAGCCAAATATCCACTTGCAGATTCCACAAAAAGACCATTTCAAAACTGCTCTATCAAAAGAAAGGTTCAACTTTGTTAGTTGAGTAGATACAGCATAAACAAGTTTCTGAGAATGCTTCTGTCCAGTTTTTATGGGAAGATATTTCCTTTTTCACCTTAGCCCTGAAAGCGCTCCAAAAGTCCAGTTCCAGATACTACAAAAGGAGTGTTTCAGGACTGCTCTATGAAAGGGAGTGTTCAACTTTTGACTTGAATGCAAACATCAGAAAGCAGTTTCTCAGAACGCTTGCTGTGTGCTTTTTATATGTATTCCCGCCTCCAGCGAAATCCCCAAAGCTAGCCAAATATCCACTTGCAGATTCCAGAAAAAGAGTGTTTCAAAACTGCTCCTTCAAAACGGTGGTTCAATTCTCTTAGTTGAGTACACACATCTCAAATAAGTTTCTGAGAATGCTTCTGTCTAGTTGTTATGGGAAGATATTTCCTTTTCCAACATAGGCCTGAAAGCGCTCCAAATGTCCACTTCCAGATACTACAAAAGGAGTGATTCCAACCTGCTCTATGATAGGGAATGTTCAACTCTGTGTCCTGAATACAAACATCACAAAGATGTTTCTCAGAACGCTGCAGTCTGCAATTTGTATGAATTCCCGCTTCCAACGAAATCCTCAAAACTAGCCAAATATCCACTTGCAGATTCCACAAAAAGAGCGTTTCAAAACTTATCTATGAAAAGAAAGGTTCTACTTCTTTAGATGAGGACACACATCACGAGTAAGTTTCTGAGAATGCTTCTGTCTAGTTTTTATGGGAAGATATTTCCTTTTTCACCTTAGGCCGGAAAGTGCTCCAAATGTCCACTTACACACACTACAAAAAGAGTGTTTCAAACCTGCTCTGTGAAAGGGAATGTTCAATTCTGTGACTTGAATGCAATCATCACAAAGAACTTTCTGAGAATGCTGCTGTCTGCTTTTTATATGTAATCCCGTTTCCAACGAAATCCTCAAATCTAGCCAAATAGCCACTTGCAGATTCCACAAAAAGAGTGTTTCAAAACTGTTCTGTCTAAAGAAATGTTCAACTGTGTTAGTTGAGGACACACATCAGAAACTAGTTTCTGAGAATGCTTCTGTCTAGTTGTTATGGGAAGATATTTCCTTTTCCAACGTAGGCCTGAAAGCGCTCCAAATGTCCACTTCCATATACTAAAAAAAGAGTGTTTCAAACCTGCTCTACCAAAGGGAATGTTCTACTCTGTGACTTGAATGCAAACATCCCAAAGAAGTTTCTGAGAATGCTTCTGTCTAGATTTGATCTGAAGACAATCCCGTTTCCAACGAAATCCTCAAGGCTAGGCAAATATCCTCTTGCAGATTCCAGAAAAAGAGTGTTTCAAAACTGCTCCTTCAAAACGGTGGTTCAATTCTCTTAGTTGAGTACACACATCTCAAATAAGTTTCTGAGAATGCTTCTGCCTAGTTGTTACGGGAAGATATTTCCCTTTCCAACATAGGCCTGAAAGCGCTCCAAATGTCCACTTCCAGATACTACAAAAAGAGTGTTTCAAACCTGCTCTACCAAAGGGAATGTTCTACTCTGTGACTTGAATAGAAACATCCCAAAGAAGTTTCTGAGAATGCTTCTGTCTAGATTTTACCTGAAGACAATCCCGTTTCCCACGAAATCCTCAATGCTATGCAAATATCCTCTTGCGGATTCTATAAAAGAGTGTTTCAAAACTGCTCTATGAAAAGAAAGGTTCAACTCTGTCAGTAGAGGGCACACATCACAAACAAGTTTCTCAGAATGCTTGTGTCTAGTTGTTATGGGAAGATATTTCCTTTTTCAACATAGGCCTGAAAGCGCTCCAAATGTCCACTTCCAGATACTACAAAAGGAGTGATTCCAATATGCTCTATGATAGGGAATGTTCATCTCTGTGTCTTGAATACAAACATTTCAAAGATGTTTCTCAGAACGCTGCAGTCTGCAATTTGTATGAATTCCCGCTTCCAACGAAATCCTCAACACTAGCCAAATATCCACTTGGAGATTCCACAAAAAGAGCGTTTCAAAACTTCTCTATGAATAGAAAGGTGCTACTCCTTTAGTTGAGGACACACATCACGAGTAAGTTTCTGAGAATGCTTCTGTCTAGTTTTTATGGGAAGATATGTCCTTTTTCACCTTAGGCCGGAAAGCGCTCCAAATGTCCACTTACACACACTACAAAAAGAGTGTTTCAAACCTGCTCTGTGAAAGGGAATGTTCAATTCTGTGACTTGAATGCAATCATCACAAAGAACTTTCTGAGAATGCTGCTGACTGCTTTTTATATGTAATCCCGTTTCCAACGAAATCCTCAAATCTAGCCCAATATCCACTTGCAGATTCCACAAAAAGAGTGTTTCAAAACTGTTCTGTCTAAAGAAATGTACAACTGTGTTAGTTGAGGACACACATCAGAAACTAGTTTCTGAGAATGCTTCTGTCTAGTTGTTATGGGAAGATATTTCCTTTTCCAACGTAGGCCTGAAAGCGCTCCAAATGTCCACTTCCATATACTAAAAAAAGAGTGTTTCAAACCTGCTCTACCAAAGGGAATGTTCTACTCTGTGACTTGAATGCAAACATCCCAAAGAAGTTTCTGAGAATGCTTCTGTCTAGATTTTATCTGAAGACAGTCCCGTTTCCAACGAAATCCTCAAGGCTAGGCAAATATACTCTTGCAGATTCCAGAAAAAGAGGGTTTCAAAACTGCTCCTTCAAAACGGTGGTTCAATTCTCTTAGTTGAGTACACACATCTCAAATAAGTTTCTGAGAATGCTTCTGCCTAGTAGTTACGGGAAGATATTTCCCTTTCCAACATGGGCCTGAAAGCGCTCCAAATGTCCACTTCCAGATACTACAAAAAGAGTGTTTCAAACCTGCTCTACCAAAGGGAATGTTCTACTCTGTGACTTGAATGCAAACATCCCAAAGAAGTTTCTGAGAATGCTTCTGTCTAGATTTTACCTGAAGACAATCCCGTTTCCCACGAAATCCTCAAAGCTATGCTAATATCCTCTTGCAGATTCTACAAAAAGAGTGTTTCAAAACTGCTCTATGAAAAGAAAGGTTCAACTCTGTCAGTAGAGGGCACACATCACAAACAAGTTTCTGAGAATGCTTGTGTCTAGTTGTTATGGGAAGATATTTCCTTTTTCAACATAGGCCTGAAAGCGCTCCAAATGTCCACTTCCAGATACTACAAAAGGAGTGATTCCAACCTGCTCTATGATAGGGAATGTTCAACTCTCTGTCCTGAATACAAACATCACAAAGATGTTTCTCAGAACGCTGCAGTCTGCAATTTGTATGAAATCCCGCTTCCAACGAAATCCTCAAAACTAGCCAAATATCCACTTGCAGATTCCACAAAAAGAGCATTTCAAAACTGCTCTATCAAAAGAAAGGTTCAACTTTGTTAGTTGAGTAGATACAGCATAAACAAGTTTCTGAGAATGCTTCTGTCCAGTTTTTATGGGAAGATATTTCCTTTTTCACCTTAGCCCTGAAAGCGCTCCAAAAGTCCAGTTCCAGATACTACAAAAGGAGTGTTTCAGGACTGCTCTATGAAAGGGAGTGTTCAACTTTTGACTTGAATGCAAACATCAGAAAGCAGTTTCTCAGAACGCTGCTGTGTGCTTTTTATATGTATTCCCGCTTCCAGCGAAATCCCCAAAGCTAGCCAAATATCCACTTGCAGATTCCAGAAAAAGAGTGTTTCAAAACTGCTCCTTCAAAACGGTGGTTCAATTCTCTTAGTTGAGTACACACATCTCAAATAAGTTTCTGAGAATGCTTCTGTCTAGTTGTTATGGGAAGATATTTCCTTTTCCAACATAGGGCCTGAAAGCGCTCCAAATGTCCACTTCCAGATACTACAAAAGGAGTGATTCAAACCTGCTCTATGATAGGGAATGTTCAACTCTGTGTCCTGAATACAAACATCACAAAGATGTTTCTCAGAACGCTGCAGTCTGCAATTTGTATGAATTCCCGCTTCCAACGAAATCCTCCAAACTAGCCAAATATCCACTTGCAGATTCCACAAAAAGAGCGTTTCAAAACTTCTCTATGAAAAGAAAGGTTCTACTCCTTTAGTTGAGGACACACATCACGAGTAAGTTTCTGAGAATGCTTCTGTCTAGTTTTTATGGGAAGATATTTCCTTTTTCACCTTAGGCCGGAAAGTGCTCCAAATGTCCACTTACACACACTACAAAAAGAGTGTTTCAAACCTGCTCTGTGAAAGGGAATGTTCAATTTTGTGACTTGAATGGAATCATCACAAAGAACTTTCTGAGAATGCTGCTGACTGCTTTTTATATGTAATCCCGTTTCCAACGAAATCCTCAAATCTAGCCAAATAGCCACTTGCAGATTCCACAAAAAGAGTGTTTCAAAACTGTTCTGTCTAAAGAAATGTTCAACTGTGTTAGTTGAGGACACACATCAGAAACTAGTTTCTGAGAATGCTTCTGTCTAGTTGTTATGGGAAGATATTTCCTTTTCCAACGTAGGCCTGAAAGCGCTCCAAATGTCCACTTCCATATACTAAAAAAAGAGTGTTTCAAACCTGCTCTACCAAAGGGAATGTTCTACTCTGTGACTTGAATGCAAACATCCCAAAGAAGTTTCTGAGAATGCTTCTGTCTAGATTTGATCTGAAGACAATCCCGTTTCCAACGAAATCCTCAAGGCTAGGCAAATATCCTCTTGCAGATTCCAGAAAAAGAGTGTTTCAAAACTGCTCCTTCAAAACGGTGGTTCAATTCTCTTAGTTGAGTACACACATCTCAAATAAGTTTCTGAGAATGCTTCTGCCTAGTTGTTACGGGAAGATATTTCCCTTTCCAACATAGGCCTGAAAGCGCTCCAAATGTCCACTTCCAGATACTACAAAAAGAGTGTTTCAAACCTGCTCTACCAAAGGGAATGTTCTGCTCTGTGACTTGAATGCAAACATCCCAAAGAAGTTTCTGAGAATGCTTCTGTCTAGATTTTACCTGAAGACAATCCCGTTTCCCACGAAATCCTCAAATCTATGCAAATATCCTCTTGCAGATTCTACAAAAAGAGTGTTTCGAAACTGCTCTATGAAAAGAAAGGTTCAACTGTGTCAGTAGAAGGCACACATCACAAACAAGTTTCTGAGAATGCTTCTGCCTAGTTGTTATGGGAAGATATTTCCTTTTTCAACATAGGCCTGAAAGCGCTCCAAATGTCCACTTCCAGATACTACAAAAGGAGTGATTCCAACCTGCTCTATGATAGGGAATGTTCAACTCTGTGTCCTGAATACAATCATCACAAAGAAGTTTCTGAGAATGCTGCAGTCTGCAATTTGTATGAATTCCCGCTTCCAACGAAATCCTCAAAACTAGCCAAATATCCACTTGCAGATTCCACAAAAAGACCATTTCAAAACTGCTCTATCAAAAGAAAGGTTCAACTTTGTTAGTTGAGTAGATACAGCATAAACAAGTTTCTGAGAATGCTTCTGTCCAGTTTTTATGGGAAGATATTTCCTTTTTCACCTTAGCCCTGAAATCGCTCCAAAAGTCCAGTTCCAGATACTACAAAAGGGGTGTTTCAAGACTGCTCTATGAAAGGGAGTGTTCAACTTTTGACTTGAATGCAAACATCAGAAAGCAGTTTCTCAGAACGCTGCTGTGTGCTTTTTATATATATTCCCGCTTCCAGCGAAATCCCCAAAGCTAGCCAAATATCCACTTGCAGATTCCAGAAAAAGAGTGTTTCCAAACTGCTCCTTCAAAACGGTGGTTCAATTCTCTTAGTTGAGTACACACATCTCAAATAAGTTTCTGGGAATGCTTCTGTCCAGTTTTTATGGGAAGATATTTCCTTTTTCACCTTAGCCCTGAAATCGCTCCAAAAGTCCAGTTCCAGATACTACAAAAGGGGTGTTTCAAGACTGCTCTATGAAAGGGAGTGTTGAACTTTTGACTTGAATGCAAACATCAGAAAGCAGTTTCTCAGAACGCTGCTGTGTGCTTTTTATATGTATTCCCGCTTCCAGCGAAATCCCCAAAGCTAGCCAAATATCCACTTGCAGATTCCAGAAAAAGAGTGCTTCAAAACTGCTCCTTCAAAACGGTGGTTCAATTCTCTTAGTTGAGTACACACATCTCAAATAAGTTTCTGAGAATGCTTCTGTCTAGTTGTTATGGGAAGATATTTCCTTTTCCAACATAGGCCTGAAAGCGCTCCAAATGTCCACTTCCAGATACTACAAAAGGAGTGATTCAAACCTGCTCTATGATAGGGAATGTTCAACTCTGTGTCCTGAATACAAACATCACAAAGATGTTTCTCAGAACGCTGCAGTCTGCAATTTGTATGAATTCCCGCTTCCAACGAAATCCTCAAAACTAGCCAAATATCCACTTGCAGATTCCACAAAAAGACCATTTCAAAACTGCTCTATCAAAAGAAAGGTTCAACTTTGTTAGTTGAGTAGATACAGCATAAACAAGTTTCTGAGAATGCTTCTGTCCAGTTTTTATGGGAAGATATTTCCTTTTTCACCTTAGCCCTGAAAGCGCTCCAAATTTCCAGTTCCAGATACTACAAAAGGGGTGTTTCAAGACTGCTCTATGAAAGGGAGTGTTCAACTTTTGACTTGAATGCAAACATCAGAAAGCAGTTTCTCAGAACGCTGCTGTGTGCTTTTTATATGTATTCCCGCTTCCAGCGAAATCCCCAAAGCTAGCCAAATATCCACTTGCAGATTCCAGAAAAAGAGTGTTTCCAAACTGCTCCTTCAAAACGGTGGTTCAATTCTCTTAGTTGAGTACACACATCTCAAATAAGTTTCTGGGAATGCTTCTGTCTAGTTGTTATGGGAAGATATTTCCTTTTCCAACATAGGCCTGAAAGCGCTCCAAATGTCCACTTCCAGATACTACAAAAGGAGTGATTCAAACCTGCTCTATGATAGGGAATGTTCAACTCTGTGTCCTGAATACAAACATCACAAAGATGTTTCTCAGAACGCTTCTCTCTAGATTTTATATGAAGATATTCCCGTTTCCAACGAAATCCACAAAGCTATCGAAATATCCACTTGCAGATTCTACAAAAAGAGTGTTTCAAAACTGCTCTATCAAAAGAAAGGTTCTACCCCTTTAGTTGAGGACACACATCACGAGTAAGTTTCTGAGAATGCTTCTGTCTAGTTTTTATGGGAAGATATTTCCTTTTTCACCTGAGGCCGGAAAGCGCTCCAAATGTCCACTTCCAGATACTACAAAAGGAGTGATTCAAACCTGCTCTATGATAGGGAACGTTCAACTCTGTGTCCTGAATACAAACATCACAAAGATGTTTCTCAGAACGCTGCAGTCTGCAATTTCTATGAATTCCCGCTTCCAACGAAATCCTCAAAACTAGCCAAATATCCACTTGCAGATTCCACAAAAAGAGCGTTTCAAAACTTCTCTATGAAAAGAAAGGTTCTACTCCTTTAGTTGAGGACACACATCACGAGTAAGTTTCTGAGAATGCTTCTGTCTAGTTTTTATGGGAAGATATTTCCTTGTTCACCTTAGGCCGGAAAGCGCTCCAAATGTCCACTTACACACACTACAAAAAGAGTGTTTCAAACCTGCTCTGTGAAAGGGAATGTTCAATTCTGTGACTTGAATGCAATCATCACAAAGAAGTTTCTGAGAATGCTGCTGTCTGCTTTTTATATGTAATCCCGTTTCCAACGAAATCCTCAAATCTAGCCAAATATCCACTTGCAGATTCCACAAAGAGAGTGTTTCAAAACTGTTCTGTCTAAAGAAATGTTCACTTGTGTTAGTTGAGGACACACATCAGAAACTAGTTTCTGAGAATGCTTCTGTCTAGTTGTTATGGGAAGATATTTCCTTTTCCAACGTAGGCCTGAAAGCGCTCCAAATGTCCACTTCCATATACTAAAAAAAGAGTGTTTCAAACCTGCTCTACCAAAGGGAATGTTCTACTCTGTGACTTGAATGCAAACATCCCAAAGAAGTTTCTGAGAATGCTTCTGTCTAGATTTTATCTGAAGACAATCCCGTTTCCAACGAAATCCTCAAGGCTAGGCAAATATACTCTTGCAGATTCCAGAAAAAGAGTGTTTCAAAACTGCTCCTTCAAAACGGTGGTTCAGTTCTCTTAGTTGAGTACACACATCTCAAATAAGTTTCTGAGAATGCTTCTGCCTAGTTGTTACGGGAAGATATTTCCCTTTCCAACATGGGCCTGAAAGCGCTCCAAATGTCCACTTCCAGATACTACAAAAAGAGTGTTTCAAACCTGCTCTACCAAAGGGAATGTTCTACTCTGTGACTTGAATGCAAACATCCCAAAGAAGTTTCTGAGAATGCTTCTGTCTAGATTTTACCTGAAGACAATCCCGTTTCCCACGAAATCCTCAATGCTATGCAAATATCCTCTTGCGGATTCTATAAAAGAGTGTTTCAAAACTGCTCTATGAAAAGAAAGGTTCAACTCTGTCAGTAGAGGGCACACATCACAAACAAGTTTCTCAGAATGCTTGTGTCTAGTTGTTATGGGAAGATATTTCCTTTTTCAACATAGGCCTGAAAGCGCTCCAAATGTCCACTTCCAGATACTACAAAAGGAGTGATTCCAATATGCTCTATGATAGGGAATGTTCATCTCTGTGTCTTGAATACAAACATTTCAAAGATGTTTCTCAGAACGCTGCAGTCTGCAATTTGTATGAATTCCCGCTTCCAACGAAATCCTCAACACTAGCCAAATATCCACTTGGAGATTCCACAAAAAGAGCGTTTCAAAACTTCTCTATGAATAGAAAGGTGCTACTCCTTTAGTTGAGGACACACATCACGAGTAAGTTTCTGAGAATGCTTCTGTCTAGTTTTTATGGGAAGACATGTCCTTTTTCCCCTTAGGCCGGAAAGCGCTCCAAATGTCCACTTACACACACTACAAAAAGAGTGTTTCAAACCTGCTCTGGAAAGGGAATGTTCAATTCTGTGACTTGAATGCAATCATCACAAAGAACTTTCTGAGAATGCTGCTGACTGCTTTTTATATGTAATCCCGTTTCCAACGAAATCCTCAAATCTAGCCCAATATCCACTTGCAGATTCCACAAAAAGAGTGTTTCAAAACTATTCTGTCTAAAGAAATGTACAACTGTGTTAGTTGAGGACACACATCAAAAACTAGTTTCTGAGAATGCTTCTGTCTAGTTGTTATGGGAAGATATTTCCTTTTCCAACGTAGGCCTGAAAGCGCTCCAAATGTCCACTTCCATATACTAAAAAAAGAGTGTTTCAAACCTGCTCTACCAAAGGGAATGTTCTACTCTG
Organism: Homo sapiens; assembly: GCF_000001405.40. Taxonomy (NCBI): domain Eukaryota; kingdom Metazoa; phylum Chordata; class Mammalia; order Primates; family Hominidae; genus Homo; species Homo sapiens. The sequence goes on along the minus strand of NC_000018.10, from coordinate 18,888,388 downwards.
TGACTTGAATGCAAACATCTCAAAGAAGTTTCTGAGAATGCTTCTGTCTAGATTTTATCTGAAGACAATCCCGTTTCCAACGAAATCCTCAAGGCTAGGCAAATATACTCTTGCAGATTCCAGAAAAAGAGTGTTTCAAAACTGCTCCTTCAAAACGGTGGTTCAGTTCTCTTAGTTGAGTACACACATCTCAAATAAGTTTCTGAGAATGCTTCTGCCTAGTTGTTACGGGAAGATATTTCCCTTTCCAACATGGGCCTGAAAGCGCTCCAAATGTCCACTTCCAGATACTACAAAAAGAGTGTTTCAAACCTGCTCTACCAAAGGGAATGTTCTACTCTGTGACTTGAATGCAAACATCCCAAAGAAGTTTCTGAGAATGCTTCTGTCTAGATTTTACCTGAAGACAATCCCGTTTCCCACGAAATCCTCAAAGCTATGCAAATATCCTCTTGCGGATTCTACAAAAAGAGTGTTTCAAAACTGCTCTATGAAAAGAAAGGTTCAACTCTGTCAGTAGAGGGCACACATCACAAACAAGTTTCTGAGAATGCTTCTGCATAGTTGTTACGGGAAGATATTTCCCTTTCCAAAATAGGCCTGAAAGCGCTCCAAATGTCCACTTCCAGATACTACAAAAGGAGTGATTCCAACCTGCTCTATGATAGGGAATGTTCAACTCTGTGTCCTGAATACAAACATCACAAAGATGTTTCTCAGAACGCTGCAGTCTGCAATTTGTATGAATTCCCGCTTCCAACGAAATCCTCAAACCTAGCCAAATATCCACTTGCAGATTCCACAAAAAGAGCATTTCAAAACTGCTCTATCAAAAGAAAGGTTCAACTTTGTTAGTTGAGTAGATACAGCATAAACAAGTTTCTGAGAATGCTTCTGTCCAGTTTTTATGGGAAGATATTTCCTTTTTCACCTTAGCCCTGAAAGCGCTCCAAATGTCCAGTTCCCGATACTACAAAAGGGGTGTTTCAAGACTGCTCTATGAAAGGGAGTGTTCAACTTTTGACTTGAATGCAAACATCAGAAAGCAGTTTCTCAGAACGCTGCTGTGTGCTTTTTATATGTATTCCCGCTTCCAGCGAAATCCCCAAAGCTAGCCAAATATCCACTTGCAGATTCCAGAAAAAGAGTGTTTCAAAACTGCTCCTTCAAAACGGTGGTTCAATTCTCTTAGTTGAGTACACACATCTCAAATAAGTTTCTGAGAATGCTTGTGTCTAGTTGTTATGGGAAGATATTTCCTTTTTCAACATAGGCCAGAAAGCGCTCCAAATGTCCACTTCCAGATACTACAAAAGGAGTGATTCCAACCTGCTCTATGATAGGGAATGTTCAACTCTCTGTCCTGAATGCAAACATCACAAAGATGTTTCTCAGAACGCTGCAGTCTGCAATTTGTATGAATTCCCGCTTCCAACGAAATCCTCAAAACTAGCCAAATATCCACTTGCAGATTCCACAAAAAGAGCATTTCAAAACTGCTCTATCAAAAGAAAGGTTCAACTTTGTTAGTTGAGTAGATACAGCATAAACAAGTTTCTGAGAATGCTTCTGTCTAGTTGTTACGGGAAGGTATTTCCTTTTCCAACATAGGCCTGAAAGCGCTCCAAATGTCCACTTCCAGATACTACAAAAGGAGTGATTCAAACCTGCTCTATTATAGGGAATGTTCAACTCTGTGTCCTGAATACAAACATCACAAAGATGTTTCTCAGAACGCTGCAGTCTGCAATTTGTATGAATTCCCGCTTCCAATGAAATCCTCAAAACTAGCCAAATATCCACTTGCAGATTCCACAAAAAGAGCGTTTCAAAACTTCTCTATGAAAAGAAAGTTTCTACTCCTTTAGTTGAGGACACACATCACGAGTAAGTTTCTGAGAATGCTTCTGTCTACTTTTTATGGGAAGATATTTCCTTTTTAACCTTAGGCCGGAAAGCGCTCCAAATGTCCGCTTACACACACTACAAAAAGAGTGTTTCAAACCTGCTCTGTGAAAGGGAATGTTCAATTCTGTGACTTGAATGCAATCATCACAAAGAACTTTCTGAGAATGCCGCTGTCTGCTTTTTATATGTAATCCCGTTTCCAACGAAATGCTCAAATCTAGCCAAATATCCACTTGCAGATTCCACAAAGAGAGTGTTTCAAAACTGTTCTGTCTAAAGAAATGTTCAACTCTGTTAGTTGAGGACACACATCAGAAACTAGTTTCTGAGAATGCTTCTGTCTAGTTGTTATGGGAAGATATTTCCTTTTCCAACGTAGGCGTGAAAGCGCTCCAAATGTCCACTTCCATATACTAAAAAAAGAGTGTTTCAAACCTGCTCTACCAAAGGGAATGTTCTACTCTGTGACTTGAATGCAAACATCCCAAAGAAGTTTCTGAGAATGCTTCTGTCTAGATTTGATCTGAAGACAATCCCGTTTCCAACGAAATCCTCAAAGCTATGCAAATATCCTCTTGCAGATTCCAGAAAAAGAGTGTTTCAAAACTGCTCCTTCAAAACGGTGGTTCAATTCTCTTAAGTTGAGTACACACATCTCAAATAAGTTTCTGAGAATGCTTCTGCCTAGTTGTTACGGGAAGATATTTCCCTTTCCAACATAGGCCTGAAAGCGCTCCAAATGTCCACTTCCAGATACTACAAAAAGAGTGTTTCAAACCTGCTCTAACAAAGGGAATGTTCTACTCTGTGACTTGAATGCAAACATCCCGAGGAATTTTCTGAGAATGCTTCTGTCTAGATTTTACCTGAAGACAATCCCGTTTCCCACGAAATCCTCAAAGCTATGCAAATATCCTCTTGCAGATTCTACAAAAAGAGTGTTTCGAAACTGCTCTATGAAAAGAAAGGTTCAACTCTGTCAGTAGAGGGCACACATCACAAACAAGTTTCTGAGAATGCTTGTGTCTAGTTGTTATGGGAAGATATTTCCTTTTTCAACATAGGCCTGAAACCGCTCCAAATGTCCACTTCCAGATACTACAAAAGGAGTGATTCCAACCTGCTCTATGATAGGGAATGTTCATCTCTGTGTCCTGAATACAAACATCACAAAGATGTTTCTCAGAACGCTGCAGTCTGCAATTTGTATGAATTCCCGCTTCCAACGAAATCCTCAAAACTAGCCAAATATCCACTTGCAGATTCCACAAAAAGAGCATTTCAAAACTGCTCTATCAAAAGAAAGGTTCAACTTTGTTAGTTGAGTAGATACAGCATAAACAAGTTTCTGAGAATGCTTCTGTCCAGTTTTTATGGGAAGATATTTCCTTTTTCACCTTAGCCCTGAAAGCGCTCCAAAAGTCCAGTTCCAGATACTACAAAAGGAGTGTTTCAGGACTGCTCTATGAAAGGGAGTGTTCAAATTTTGACTTGAATGCAAACATCAGAAAGCAGTTTCTCAGAACGCTGCTGTGTGCTTTTTATATGTATTCCCGCCTCCAGCGAAATCCCCAAAGCTAGCCAAATATCCACTTGCAGATTCCAGAAAAAGAGTGTTTCAAAACTGCTCCTTCAAAACGGTGGTTCAATTCTCTTAGTTGAGTACACACATCTCAAATAAGTTTCTGAGAATGCTTCTGTCTAGTTGTTATGGGAAGATATTTCCTTTTCCAACATAGGCCTGAAAGCGCTCCAAATGTCCACTTCCAGATACTACAAAAGGAGTGATTCCAACCTGCTCTATGATAGGGAATGTTCAACTCTGTGTCCTGAATACAAACATCACAAAGATGTTTCTCAGAACGCTGCAGTCTGCAATTTGTATGAATTCCCGCTTCCAACGAAATCCTCAAAACTAGCCAAATATCCACTTGGAGATTCCACAAAAAGAGCGTTTCAAAACTTCTCTATGAATAGAAAGGTTCTACTCCTTTAGTTGAGGACACACATCACGAGTAAGTTTCTGAGAATGCTTCTGTCTAGTTTTTATGGGAAGATATTTCCTTTTTCACCTTAGGCCGGTAAGTGCTCCAAATGTCCACTTACACACACTACAAAAAGAGTGTTTCAAACCTGCTCTGTGAAAGGGAATGTTCAATTCTGTGACTTGAATGCAATCATCACAAAGAACTTTCTGAGAATGCTGCTGTCTGCTTTTTATATGTAATCCCGTTTCCAACGAAATCCTCAAATCTAGCCCAATATCCACTTGCAGATTCCACAAAAAGAGTGTTTCAAAACTGTTCTGTCTAAAGAAATGTACAACTGTGTTAGTTGAGGACACACATCAGAAACTAGTTTCTGAGAATGCTTCTGTCTAGTTGTTATGGGAAGATATTTCCTTTTCCAACGTAGGCCTGAAAGCGCTCCAAATGTCCACTTCCATATACTAAAAAAAGAGTGTTTCAAACCTGCTCTACCAAAGGGAATGTTCTACTCTGTGACTTGAATGCAAACATCCCAAAGAAGTTTCTGAGAATGCTTCTGTCTAGATTTTATCTGAAGACAATCCCGTTTCCAACGAAATCCTCAAGGCTAGGCAAATATACTCTTGCAGATTCCAGAAAAAGAGGGTTTCAAAACTGCTCCTTCAAAACGGTGGTTCAATTCTCTTAGTTGAGTACACACATCTCAAATAAGTTTCTGAGAATGCTTCTGCCTAGTTGTTACGGGAAGATATTTCCCTTTCCAACATGGGCCTGAAAGCGCTCCAAATGTCCACTTCCAGATACTACAAAAAGAGTGTTTCAAACCTGCTCTACCAAAGGGAATGTTCTACTCTGTGACTTGAATGCAAACATCCCAAAGAAGTTTCTGAGAATGCTTCTGTCTAGATTTTACCTGAAGACAATCCCGTTTCCCACGAAATCCTCAAAGCTATGCAAATATCCTCTTGCAGATTCTACAAAAAGAGCGTTTCAAAACTTCTCTATGAAAAGAAAGGTTCTACTCATTTAGTGGAGGACACACATCACGAGTAAGTTTCTGAGAATGCTTCTGTCTAGTTTTTATGGGAAGATATTTCCTTTTTCACCTTAGGCCGGAAAGTGCTCCAGATGTCCAATTACACACACTAAAAAAGAGTATTTCAAACCTGCTCTGTGAAAGGGAATGTTCAATTCTGTGACTTGAATGCAATCATCACAAAGAACTTTCTGAGAATGCTGCTGACTGCTTTTTATATGTAATCCCGTTTCCAACGAAATCCTCAAATCTAGCCAAATAGCCACTTGCAGATTCCACAAAAAGAGTGTTTCAAAACTGTTCTGTCTAAAGAATGTGCAACTGTGTTAGTTGAGGACACACATCAGAAACTAGTTTCTGAGAATGCTTCTGTCTAGTTGTTATGGGAAGATATTTCCTTTTCCAACGTAGGCCTGAATGCGCTCCAAATGTCCACTTCCATATACTAAAAAAAGAGTGTTTCAAACCTGCTCTACCAAAGGGAATGTTCTACTCTGTGACTTGAATGCAAACATCCCAAAGAAGTTTCTGAGAATGCTTCTGTATAGATTTGATCTGAAGACAATCTCGTTTCCAACGAAATCCTCAAGGCTAGGCAAATATCCTCTTTCAGATTCCAGAAAAAGAGTGTTTCAAAACTGCTCCTTCAAAACGGTGGTTCAACTCTCTTAGTTGAATACACACATCTCAAATAAGTTTCTGAGAATGCTTCTGCCTAGTTGTTACGGGAAGATATTTCCCTTTCCAACATAGGCCTGAAAGCGCTCCAAATGTCCACTTCCAGATACTACAAAAAGAGTGTTTCAAACCTGCTCTACCAAAGGGAATGTTCTACTCTGTGACTTGAATGCAAACATCCCAAAGAAGTTTCTGAGAATGCTTCTGTCTAGATTTTACCTGAAGACAATCCCGTTTCCCACGAAATCCTCAAAGCTATGCAAATATCCTCTTGCAGATTCTACAAAAAGAGTGTTTCAAAACTGCTCTATGAAAAGAAAGGTTCAACTCTGTCAGTAGATGGCACACATCACAAACAAGTTTCTGAGAATGCTTGTGTCTAGTTGTTATGGGAAGATATTTCCTTTTTCAACATAGGCCTGAAAGCGCTCCAAATGTCCACTTCCAGATACTACAAAAGGAGTGATTCCAACCTGCTCTATGATAGGGAATGTTCAACTCTCTGTCCTGAATACAAACATCACAAAGATGTTTCTCAGAACGCTGCAGTCTGCAATTTGTATGAATTCCCGCTTCCAACGAAATCCTCAAAACTAGCCAAATATCCACTTGCAGATTCCACAAAAAGAGCATTTCAAAACTGCTCTATCAAAAGAAAGGTTCAACTTTGTTAGTTGAGTAGATACAGCATAAACAAGTTTCTGAGAATGCTTCTGTCCAGTTTTTATGGGAAGATATTTCCTTTTTCACCTTAGCCCTGAAAGCGCTCCAAAAGTCCAGTTCCAGATACTACAAAAGGAGTGTTTCAGGACTGCTCTATGAAAGGGAGTGTTCAACTTTTGACTTGAATGCAAACATCAGAAAGCAGTTTCTCAGAACGCTGCTGTGTGCTTTTTATATGTATTCCCGCTTCCAGCGAAATCCCCAAAGCTAGCCAAATATCCACTTGCAGATTCCAGAAAAAGAGTGTTTCAAAACTGCTCCTTCAAAACGGTGGTTCAATTCTCTTAGTTGAGTACACACATCTCAAATAAGTTTCTGAGAATGCTTGTGTCTAGTTGTTATGGGAAGATATTTCCTTTTTCAACATAGGCCTGAAAGCGCTCCAAATGTCCACTTCCAGATACTACAAAAGGAGTGATTCCAACCTGCTCTATGATAGGGAATGTTCATCTCTGTGTCCTGAATACAAACATCACAAAGATGTTTCTCAGAACGCTGCAGTCTGCAATTTGTATGAATTCCCGCTTCCAACGAAATCCTCAAAACTAGCCAAATATCCACTTGCAGATTCCACAAAAAGAGCGTTTCAAACCTTCTCTATGAATAGAAAGGTTCTACTCCTTTAGTTGAGGACACACATCACGAGTAAGTTTCTGAGAATGCTTCTGTCTAGTTTTTATGGGAAGATATTTCCTTTTTCACCTTAGGCCGGAAAGCGCTCCAAATGTCCACTTACACACACTACAAAAAGAGTGTTTCAAACCTGCTCTGTGAAAGGGAATGTTCAATTCTGTGACTTGAATGCAATCATCACAAAGAACTTTCTGAGAATGCTGCTGTCTGCTTTTTATATGTAATCCCGTTTCCAACGAAATCCTCAAATCTACCCCAATATCCACTTGCAGATTCCACAAAAAGAGTGTTTCAAAACTGTTCTGTCTAAAGAAATGTACAACTGTGTTAGTTGAGGACACACATCAGAAACTAGTTTCTGAGAATGCTTCTGTCTAGTTGTTATGGGAAGATATTTCCTTTTCCAACGTAGGCCTGAAAGCGCTCCAAATGTCCACTTCCATATACTAAAAAAAGAGTGTTTCAAACCTGCTCTACCAAAGGGAATGTTCTACTCTGTGACTTGAATGCAAACATCCCAAAGAAGTTTCTGAGAATGCTTCTGTCTAGATTTGATCTGAAGACAATCCCGTTTCCAACGAAATCATCAAGGCTAGGCAAATATCCTCTTGCAGATTCCAGAAAAAGAGTGTTTCAAAACTGCTCCTTCAAAACGGTGGTTCAATTCTCTTACTTGAGTACACACATCTCAAATAAGTTTCTGAGAATGCTTCTGCCTAGTTGTTACGGGAAGATATTTCCCTTTCCAACATAGGCCTGAAAGCGCTCCAAATGTCCACTTCCAGATACTACAAAAAGAGTGTTTCAAACCTGCTCTACCAAAGGGAATGTTCTACTCTGTGACTTGAATGCAAACATCCCAAAGAAGTTTCTGAGAATGCTTCTGTCTAGATTTTACCTGAAGACAATCCCGTTTCCCACGAAATCCTCAAAGCTATGCAAATATCCTCTTGCAGATTCTACAAAAAGAGTGTTTCAAAACTGCTCTATGAAAAGAAAGGTTCAACTCTGTCAGTAGAGGGCACACATCACAAACAAGTTTCTGAGAATGCTTGTGTCTACTTGTTATGGGAAGATATTTCCTTTTTCAACATAGGCCTGAAAGCGCTCCAAATGTCCACTTCCAGATACTACAAAAGGAGTGATTCCAACCTGCTCTATGATAGGGAATGTTCAACTCTGTGTCCTGAATACAAACATCACAAAGATGTTTCTCAGAACGCTGCAGTCTGCAATTTGTATGAATTCCCGCTTCCAACGAAATCCTCAAAACTAGCCAAATATCCACTTGCAGATTCCACAAAAAGACCATTTCAAAACTGCTCTATCAAAAGAAAGGTTCAACTTTGTTAGTTGAGTAGATACAGCATAAACAAGTTTCTGAGAATGCTTCTGTCCAGTTTTTATGGGAAGATATTTCCTTTTTCACCTTAGCCCTGAAATCGCTCCAAAAGTCCAGTTCCAGATACTACAAAAGGGGTGTTTCAGGACTGCTCTATGAAAGGTAGTGTTCAACTTTTGACTTGAATGCAAACATCAGAAAGCAGTTTCTCAGAACGCTGCTGTGTGCTTTTTATATGTATTCCCGCTTCCAGCGAAATCCCCAAAGCTAGCCAAATATCCACTTGCAGATTCCAGAAAAAGAGAGTTTCAAAACTGCTCCTTCAAAACGGTGGTTCAATTCTCTTAGTTGAGTACACACATCTCAAATAAGTTTCTGAGAATGCTTCTGTCTAGTTGTTATGGGAAGATATTTCCTTTTCCAACATAGGCCTGAAAGCGCTCCAAATGTCCACTTCCAGATACTACAAAAGGAGTGATTCCAACCTGCTCTATGATAGGGAATGTTCAACTCTGTGTCCTGAATACAAACATCACAAAGATGTTTCTCAGAACGCTGCAGTCTGCAATTTGTATGAATTCCCGCTTCCAACGAAATCCTCAACACTAGCCAAATATCCACTTGGAGATTCCACAAAAAGAGCGTTTCAAAACTTCTCTATGAATAGAAAGGTTCTACTCCTTTAGTTGAGGACACACATCACGAGTAAGTTTCTGAGAATGCTTCTGTCTAGTTTTTATGGGAAGATATGTCCTTTTTCACCTTAGGCCGGAAAGCGCTCCAAATGTCCACTTACACACACTACAAAAAGAGTGTTTCAAACCTGCTCTGTGAAAGGGAATGTTCAATTCTGTGACTTGAATGCAATCATCACAAAGAACTTTCTGAGAATGCTGCTGTCTGCTTTTTATATGTAATCCCGTTTCCAACGAAATACTCAAATCTAGCCCAATATCCACTTGCAGATTCCACAAAAAGAGTGTTTCAAAACTGTTCTGTATAAAGAAATGTACAACTGTGTTAGTTGAGGACACACATCAGAAACTAGTTTCTGAGAATGCTTCTGTCTAGTTGTTATGGGAAGATATTTCCTTTTCCAACGTAGGCCTGAAAGCGCTCCAAATGTCCACTTCCAGATACTAAAAAAAGAGTGTTTCAAACCTGCTCTACCAAAGAGAATGTTCTACTCTGTGACTTGAATGCAAACATCCCAAAGAAGTTTCTGAGAATGCTTCTGTCTAGATTTTATCTGAAGACAATCCCGTTTCCAACGAAATCCTCAAGGCTAGGCAAACATACTCTTGCAGATTCCAGAAAAAGAGTGTTTCAAAACTGCTCCTTCAAAACGGTGATTCAATTCTCTTAGTTGAGTACACACATCTCAAATAAGTTTCTGAGAATGCTTCTGCCTAGTTGTTACGGGAAGATATTTCCCTTTCCAACATGGGCCTGAAAGCGCTCCAAATGTCCACTTCCAGATACTACAAAAAGAGTGTTTCAAACCTGCTCTACCAAAGGGAATGTTCTACTCTGTGTCTTGAATGCAAACATCCCAAGGATGTTTCTGAGAATGCTTCTGTCTAGATTTTACCTGAAGACAATCCCGTTTCCCACGAAATCCTCAAAGCTATGCAAATATCCTCTTGCAGATTCTACAAAAAGAGTGTTTCAAAACTGCTCTAAGAAAAGAAAGGTTCAACTCTGTCAGTAGAGGGCACACATCACAAACAAGTTTCTGAGAATGCTTCTGCATAGTTGTTACGGGAAGATATTTCCCTTTCCAAAATAGGCCTGAAAGCGCTCCAAATGTCCACTTCCAGATACTACAAAAGGAGTGATTCCAACCTGCTCTATGATAGGGAATGTTCAACTCTGTGTCCTGAATACAAACATCACAAAGATGTTTCTCAGAACGCTGCAGTCTGCAATTTGTATGTATTCCAGCTTCCAACGAAATCCTCAAATCTAGCCAAATATCCAATTGCAGATTCCACAAAAAGAGCATTTCAAAACTGCTCTATCAAAAGAAAGGTTCAACTTTTTTAGTAGAGTAGATACAGCATAAACAAGTTTCTGAGAATGCTTCTGTCCAGTTTTTATGGGAAGATATTTCCTTTTTCACCTTAGCCCTGAAAGCGCTCCAAAAGTCCAGTTCCAGATACTACAAAAGGAGTGTTTCAGGACTGCTCTATGAAAGGGAGTGTTCAACTTTTGACTTGAATGCAAACATCAGAAAGCAGTTTCTCAGAACGCTGCAGTCTGCAATTTGTATGAATTCCCGCTTCCAACGAAATCCTCAAAACTAGCCAAATATCCACTTGGAGATTCCACAAAAAGAGCGTTTCAAAACTTCTCTATGAATAGAAAGGTTCTACTCTTTTAGTTGAGGACACACATCACGAGTAAGTTTCTGAGAATGCTTCTGTCTAGTTTTTATGGGAAGATATTTCCTTTTTCACCTTAGGCCGGTAAGTGCTCCAAATGTCCACTTACACACACTACAAAAAGAGTGTTTCAAACCTGCTCTGTGAAAGGGAATGTTCAATTCTGTGACTTGAATGCAATCATCACAAAGAACTTTCTGAGAATGCCGCTGTCTGCTTTTTATATGTAATCCCGTTTCCAACGAAATCCTCAAATCTAGCCAAATATCCACTTGCAGATTCCACAAAGAGAGTGTTTCAAAACTGTTCTGTCTAAAGAAATGTTCAACTGTGTTAGTTGAGGACACACATCAGAAACTAGTTTCTGAGAATGCTTCTGTCTAGTTGTTATGGGAAGATATTTCCTTTTCCAACGTAGGCCTGAAAGCGCTCCAAATGTCCACTTCCATATACTAAAAAAAGAGTGTTTCAAACCTGCTCTACCAAAGGGAATGTTCTACTCTGTGACTTGAATGCAAACATCCCAAAGAAGTTTCTGAGAATGCTTCTGTCTAGATTTGATCTGAAGACAATCCCGTTTCCAACGAAATCCTCAAATCTATGCAAATATCCTCTTGCAGATTCCAGAAAAAGAGTGTTTCAAAACTGCTCCTTCAAAACGGTGGTTCAATTCTCTTAGTTGAGTACACACATCTCAAATAAGTTTCTGAGAATGCTTCTGCCTAGTTGTTACGGGAAGATATTTCCCTTTCCAACATAGGCCTGAAAGCGCTCCAAATGTCCACTTCCAGATACTACAAAAAGAGTGTTTCAAACCTGCTCTACCAAAGGGAATGTTCTACTCTGTGACTTGAATGCAAACATCCCGAAGAATTTTCTGAGAATGCTTCTGTCTAGATTTTACCTGAAGACAATCCCGTTTCCCACGAAATCCTCAAAGCTATGCAAATATCCTCTTGCAGATTCTACAAAAAGAGTGTTTCGAAACTGCTCTATGAAAAGAAAGGTTCAACTCTGTCAGTAGAGGGCACACATCACAAACAAGTTTCTGAGAATGCTTGTGTCTACTTGTTATGGGAAGATATTTCCTTTTTCAACATAGGCCTGAAAGCGCTCCAAATGTCCACTTCCAGATACTACAAAAGGAGTGATTCCAACCTGCTCTATGATAGGGAATGTTCAACTCTGTGTCCTGAATACAAACATCACAAAGATGTTTCTCAGAACGCTGCAGTCTGCAATTTGTATGAATTCCCGCTTCCAAAGAAATCCTCAAAACTAACCAAATATCCACTTGCAGACTCCACAAAAAGAGCATTTCAAAACTGCTCTATCAAAAGAAAGGTTCAACTTTGTTAGCTGAGTAGATACAGCATAAACAAGTTTCTGAGAATGCTTCTGTCCAGTTTTTATGGGAAGATATTTCCTTTTTCACCTTAGCCCTGAAAGCACTCCAAATGTCCACTTCCAGATACCACAAAAGGGGAGTTTCAAGACTGCTCTATGAAAGGGAGTGTTCAACTTTTGACTTGAATGCGAACATCAGAAAGAAGTTTCTCAGAACGCTGCTGTGTGCTTTTTATATGTATTCCCGCTTCCAGCGAAATCCCCAAAGCTAGCCAAATATCCAATTGCAGATTCCAGAAAAAGAGTGTTTCAAAACTGCTCCTTCAAAACGGTGGTTCAATTCTCTTAGTTGAGTACACACATCTCAAATAAGTTTCTGAGAATGCTTCTGCCTAGTTGTTACGGGAAGATATTTCCCTTTCCAACATAGGCCTGAAAGCGCTCCAAATGTCCACTTCCAGATACTACAAAAAGAGTGTTTCAAACCTGCTCTACCAAAGGGAATGTTCTACTCTGTGACTTGAATGCAAACATCCCGAAGAACTTTCTGAGAATGCTTCTGTCTAGATTTTACCTGAAGACAATCTCGTTTCCCACGAAATCCTCAAAGCTATGCAAATATCCTCTTGCAGATTCTACAAAAAGAGTGTTTCAAAACTGCTCTATGAAAAGAAAGGTTCAACTCTGTCAGTAGAGGGCACACATCACAAACAAGTTTCTGAGAATGCTTCTGTCTAGTTTTTATGGGAAGATATTTCCTTTTTCACCTTAGGCCGGAGAGCGCTCCAAATGTCCGCTTACACACACTACAAAAAGAGTGTTTCAAACCTGCTCTGTGAAAGGGAATGTTCAATTCTGTGACTTGAATGCAATCATCACAAAGAACTTTCTGAGAATGCCGCTGTCTGCTTTTTGTATGTAATCCCGTTTCCAACGAAATGCTCAAATCTAGCCAAATATCCACTTGCAGATTCCACAAAAAGAGTGTTTCAAAACTGTTCTGTCTAAAGAAATGTACAACTGTGTTAGTTGAGGACACACATCAGAAACTAGTTTCTGAGAATGCTTCTGTCTAGTTGTTATGGGAAGATATTTCCTTTTCCAACGTAGGCCTGAAAGCGCTCCAAATGTCCACTTCCATATACTAAAAAAAGAGTGTTTCAAACCTGCTCTACCAAAGGGAATGTTCTACTCCGTGACTTGAATGCAAACATCCCAAAGAAGTTTCTGAGAATGCTTCTGTCTAGATTTGATCTGAAGACAATCCCGTTTCCAACGAAATCCTCAAGGCTAGGCAAATATCCTCTTGCAGATTCCAGAAAAAGAGTGTTTCAAAACTGCTCCTTCAAAACGGTGGTTCAATTCTCTTAGTTGAGTACACACATCTCAAATAAGTTTCTGAGAATGCTTCTGCCTAGTTGTTACGGGAAGATATTTCCCTTTCCAACATAGGCCTGAAAGCGCTCCAAATGTACACTTCCAGATACTACAAAAAGAGTGTTTCAAACCTGCTCTACCAAAGGGAATGTTCTGCTCTGTGACTTGAATGCAAACATCCCAAAGAAGTTTCTGAGAATGCTTCTGTCTAGATTTTACCTGAAGACAATCCCGTTTCCCACGAAATCCTCAAAGCTATGCAAATATCCTCTTGCAGATTCTACAAAAAGAGTGTTTCAAAACTGCTCTATGAAAAGAAAGGTTCAACTCTGTCAGTAGAGGGCACACATCACAAACAAGTTTCTGAGAATGCTTCTGCATAGTTGTTACGGGAAGATATTTCCCTTTCCAAAATAGGCCTGAAAGCGCTCCAAATGTCCACTTCCAGATACTACAAAAGGAGTGATTCCAACCTGCTCTATGATAGGGAATGTTCAACTCTGTGTCCTGAATACAAACATCACAAAGATGTTTCTCAGAACGCTGCAGTCTGCAATTTGTATGAATTCCCGCTTCCAACGAAATCCTCAAAACTAGCCAAATATCCACTTGCAGATTCCACAAAAAGACCATTTCAAAACTGCTCTATCAAAAGAAAGGTTCAACTTTGTTAGTTGAGTAGATACAGCATAACCAAGTTTCTGAGAATGCTTCTGTCCAGTTTTTATGGGAAGATATTTCCTTTTTCACCTTAGCCCTGAAATCGCTCCAAAAGTCCAGTTCCAGATACTACAAAAGGGGTGTTTCAAGACTGCTCTATGAAAGGGAGTGTTCAACTTTTGACTTGAATGCAAACATCAGAAAGCAGTTTCTCAGAACGCTGCTGTGTGCTTTTTATATGTATTCCCGCTTCCAGCGAAATCCCCAAAGCTAGCCAAATATCCACTTGCAGATTCCAGAAAAAGAGAGTTTCAAAACTGCTCCTTCAAAACGGTGGTTCAATTCTCTTAGTTGAGTACACACATCTCAAATAAGTTTCTGAGAATGCTTCTGTCTAGTTGTTATGGGAAGATATTTCCTTTTCCAACATAGGCCTGAAAGCGCTCCAAATGTCCACTTCCAGATACTACAAAAGGAGTGATTCAAACCTGCTCTATGATAGGGAATGTTCAACTCTGTGTCCTGAATACAAACATCACAAAGATGTTTCTCAGAACGCTGCAGTCTGCAATTTGTATGAATTCCCGCTTCCAACGAAATCCTCAAAACTAGCCAAATATCCACTTGCAGATTCCACAAAAAGAGCGTTTCAAAACTTCTCTATGAAAAGAAAGGTTCTACTCCTTTAGTTGAGGACACACATCACGAGTAAGTTCTGAGAATGCTTCTGTCTAGTTTTCATGGGAAGATATGTCCTTTTTCACCTTAGGCCGGAAAGCACTCCAAATGTCCACTTACACACACTACAAAAAGAGTGTTTCAAACCTGCTCTGTGAAAGGGAATGTTCAATTCTGTGACTTGAATGCAATCATCACAAAGAACTTTCTGAGAATGCTGCTGACTGCTTTTTATATGTAATCCCGTTTCCAACGAAATCCTCAAATCTAGCCCAATATCCACTTGCAGATTCCACAAAAAGAGTGTTTCAAAACTGTTCTGTCTAAAGAAATGTACAACTGTGTTAGTTGAGGACACACATCAGAAACTAGTTTCTGAGAATGCTTCTGTCTAGTTGTTATGGGAAGATATTTCCTTTTCCAACGTAGGCCTGAAAGCGCTCCAAATGTCCACTTCCATATACTAAAAAAAGAGTGTTTCAAACCTGCTCTACCAAAGGGAATGTTCTACTCTGTGACTTGAATGCAAACATCCCAAAGAAGTTTTTGAGAATGCTTCTGTCTAGATTTTATCTGAAGACAATCCCGTTTCCAACGAAATCCTCAAGGCTAGGCAAATATACTCTTGCAGATTCCAGAAAAAGAGTGTTTCAAAACTGCTCCTTCAAAACGGTGGTTCAATTCTCTTAGTTGAGTACACACATCTCAAATAAGTTTCTGAGAATGCTTCTGCCTAGTTGTTACGGGAAGATATTTCCCTTTCCAACATGGGCCTGAAAGCGCTCCAAATGTCCACTTCCAGATACTACAAAAAGAGGGTTTCAAACCTGCTCTACCAAAGGGAATGTTCTACTATGTGACTTGAATGCAAACATCCCAAAGAAGTTTCTGAGAATGCTTCTGTCTAGATTTTACCTGAAGACAATCCCGTTTCCCACGAAATCCTCAAAGCTATGCAAATATCCTCTTGCAGATTCTACAAAAAGAGTGTTTCAAAACTGCTCTATGAAAAGAAAGGTTCAACTCTGTCAGTAGA
The DNA here is from genome assembly GCF_000001405.40 of Homo sapiens. Classification (NCBI taxonomy): domain Eukaryota; kingdom Metazoa; phylum Chordata; class Mammalia; order Primates; family Hominidae; genus Homo; species Homo sapiens. The sequence continues at coordinate 18,872,598 of NC_000018.10, read as the reverse complement.
GGGCACACATCACAAACAAGTTTCTGAGAATGCTTGTGTCTAGTTGTTATGGGAAGATATTTCCTTTTTCAACATAGGCCTGAAAGCGCTCCAAATGTCCACTTCCAGATACTACAAAAGGAGTGATTCCAACCTGCTCTATGATAGGGAATGTTCAACTCTCTGTCCTGAATACAAACATCACAAAGATGTTTCCTCAGAACGCTGCAGTCTGCAATTTGTATGAATTCCCGCTTCCAACGAAATCCTCAAAACTAGCCAAATATCCACTTGCAGATTCCACAAAAAGAGCATTTCAAAACTGCTCTATCAAAAGAAAGGTTCAACTTTGTTAGTTGAGTAGATACAGCATAAACAAGTTTCTGAGAATGCTTCTGTCCAGTTTTTATGGGAAGATATTTCCTTTTTCACCTTAGCCCTGAAAGCGCTCCAAAAGTCCAGTTCCAGATACTACAAAAGGAGTGTTTCAGGACTGCTCAATGAAAGGGAGTGTTCAACTTTTGACTTGAATGCAAACATCAGAAAGCAGTTTCTCAGAACGCTGCTGTGTGCTTTTTATATGTATTCCCGCTTCCAGCGAAATCCCCAAAGCTAGCCAAATAGCCACTTGCAGATTCCAGAAAAAGAGTGTTTCAAAACTGCTCCTTCAAAACGGTGGTTCAATTCTCTTAGTTGAGTACACACATCTCAAATAAGTTTCTGAGAATGCTTCTGTCTAGTTGTTATGGGAAGATATTTCCTTTTCCAACATAGGCCTGAAAGCGCTCCAAATGTCCACTTCCAGATACTACAAAAGGAGTGATTCAAACCTGCTCTATGATAGGGAATGTTCAACTCTGTGTCCTGAATACAAACATCACAAAGATGTTTCTCAGAACGCTGCAGTCTGCAATTTGTATGAATTCCCGCTTCCAACGAAATCCTCAAAACTAGCCAAATATCCACTTGCAGATTCCACAAAAAGAGCGTTTCAAAACTTCTCTATGAAAAGGAAGGTTCTACTCCTTTAGTTGAGGACACACATCACGAGTAAGTTTCTGAGAATGCTTCTGTCTAGTTTTTATGGGAAGATATGTCCTTTTTCACCTTAGGCCGGAAAGCGCTCCAAATGTCCACTTACACACACTACAAAAAGAGTGTTTCAAACCTGCTCTGTGAAAGGGAATGTTCAATTCTGTGACTTGAATGCAATCATCACAAAGAACTTTCTGAGAATGCTGCTGTCTGCTTTTTATATGTAATCCCGTTTCCAACGAAATCCTCAAATCTACCCCAATATCCACTTGCAGATTCCACAAAAAGAGTGTTTCAAAACTGTTCTGTGTAAAGAAATGTACAACTGTGGTAGTTGAGGACACACATCAGAAACTAGTTTCTGAGAATGCTTCTGTCTAGTTGTTATGGGAAGATATTTCCTTTTCCAACGTAGGCCTGAAAGCGCTCCAAATGTCCACTTCCATATACTAAAAAAAGAGTGTTTCAAACCTGCTCTACCAAAGGGAATGTTCTACTCTGTGACTTGAATGCAAACATCCCAAAGAAGTTTCTGAGAATGCTTCTGTCTAGATTTTATCTGAAGACAATCCCGTTTCCAACGAAATCCTCAAGGCTAGGCAAATATATTCTTGCAGAATCCAGAAAAAGAGTGTTTCAAAACTGCTCCTTCAAAACGGTGGTTCAATTCTCTTAGTTGAGTACACACATCTCAAATAAGTTTCTGAGAATGCTTCTGCCTAGTTGTTACGGGAAGATATTTCCCTTTCCAACATGGGCCTGAAAGCGCTCCAAATGTCCACTTCCAGATACTACAAAAAGAGTGTTTCAAACCTGCTCTACCAAAGGGAATGTTCTACTCTGTGACTTGAATGCAAACATCCCAAAGAAGTTTCTGAGAATGCTTCTGTCTAGATTTTACCTGAAGACAATCCCATTTCCCACGAAATCCTCAAAGCTATGCAAATATCCTCTTGCGGATTCTACAAAAAGAGTGTTTCAAAACTGCTCTATGAAAAGAAAGGTTCAACTCTGTCAGCAGAGGGCACACATCACAAACAAGTTTCTGAGAATGCTTCTGTCTAGTTGTTATGGGAAGATATTTCCTTTTTCAACATAGGCCTGAAAGCGCTCCAAATGTCCACTTCCAGATACTACAAAAGGAGTGATTCCAACCTGCTCTATGATAGGGAATGTTCATCTCTGTGTCTTGAATACAAACATCACAAAGATGTTTCTCAGAACGCTGCAGTCTGCAATTTGTATGAATTCCCGCTTCCAACGAAATCCTCAAAACTAGCCAAATATCCACTTGGAGATTCCACAAAAAGAGCGTTTCAAACTTCTCTATGAATAGAAAGGTTCTACTCCTTTAGTTGAGGACACACATCACGAGTAAGTTTCTGAGAATGCTTCTGTCTAGTTTTTATGGGAAGATATTTCCTTTTTCACCTTAGGCCGGTAAGTGCTCCAAATGTCCACTTACACACACTACAAAAAGAGTGTTTCAAACCTGCTCTGTGAAAGGGAATGTTCAATTCTGTGACTTGAATGCAATCATCACAAAGAACTTTCTGAGAATGCTGCTGTCTGCTTTTTATATGTAATCCCGTTTCCAACGAAATCCTCAAATCTAGCCAAATATCCACTTGTAGATTCCACAAAAAGAGTGTTTCAAAACTCTTCTGTCTAAAGAAATGTTCAACTGTGTTAGTTGAGGACACACATCAGGAACTAGTTTCTGAGAATGCTTCTGTCTAGTTGTTATGGGAAGATATTTCCTTTTCCAACGTAGGCCTGAAAGCGCTCCAAATGTCCACTTCCATATACTAAAAAAAGAGTGTTTCAAACCTGCTCTACCAAAGGGAATGTTCTACTCTGTGACTTGAATGCAAACATCCCAAAGAAGTTTCTGAGAATGCTTCTGTCTAGATTTTATCTGAAGACAATCCCGTTTCCAACGAAATCCTCAAGGCTAGGCAAATATACTCTTGCAGATTCCAGAAAAAGAGGGTTTCAAAACTGCTCCTTCAAAACGGTGGTTCAATTCTCTTAGTTGAGTACACACATCTCAAATAAGTTTCTGAGAATGCTTCTGCCTAGTTGTTACGGGAAGATATTTCCCTTTCCAACATGGGCCTGAAAGCGCTCCAAATGTCCACTTCCAGATACTACAAAAAGAGTGTTTCAAACCTGCTCTACCAAAGGGAATGTTCTACTCTGTGACTTGAATGCAAACATCCCAAAGAAGTTTCTGAGAATGCTTCTGTCTAGATTTTACCTGAAGACAATCCCGTTTCCCGCGAAATCCTCAAAGCTATGCAAATATCCTCTTGCAGATTCTACAAAAAGAGTGTTTCAAAACTGCTCTATGAAAAGAAAGGTTCAACTCTGTCAGTAGAGGGCACACATCACAAACAAGTTTCTGAGAATGCTTGTGTCTAGTTGTTATGGGAAGATATTTCCTTTTTCAACATAGGCCTGAAAGCGCTCCAAATGTCCACTTCCAGATACTACAAAAGGAGTGATTCCAACCTGCTCTATGATAGGGAATGTTCAACTCTGTGTCCTGAATACAAGCATCACAAAGATGTTTCTCAGAACGCTGCAGTGTGCAATTTGTATGAATTCCCGCTTCCAACGAAATCCTCAAAACTAGCCAAATATCCACTTGCAGATTCCACAAAAAGAGCATTACAAAACTGCTCTATCAAAAGAAAGCTTCAAATTTGTTAGTTGAGTAGATACAGCATAAACAAGTTTCTCAGAATGCTTCTGTCCAGTTTTTATGGGAAGATATTTCCTTTTTCACCTTAGCCCTGAAATCGCTCCAAAAGTCCAGTTCCAGATACTACAAAAGGGGTGTTTCAAGACTGCTCTATGAAAGGGAGTGTTCAACTTTTGACTTGAATGCAAACATCAGAAAGCAGTTTCTCAGAACGCTGCTGTGTGCTTTTTATATGTATTCCCGCTTCCAGCGAAATCCCCAAAGCTAGCCAAATATCCACTTGCAGATTCCAGAAAAAGAGAGTTTCAAAACTGCTCCTTCAAAACGGTGGTTCAATTCTCTTAGTTGAGTACACACATCTCAAATAAGTTTCTGAGAATGCTTGTGTCTAGTTGTTATGGGAAGATATTTCCTTTTTCAACATAGGCCTGAAAGCGCTCCAAATGTCCACTTCCAGATACTACAAAAGGAGTGATTCCAACCTGCTCTATGATAGGGAATGTTCAACTCTATGTCCTGAATACAAACATCACAAAGATGTTTCTCAGAACGCTGCAGGCTGCAATTTGTATGAATTCCCGCTTCCAACGAAATCCTCAAAACTAGCCAAATATCCACTTGCAGATTCCACAAAAAGAGCGTTTCAAAACTTCTCTATGAAAAGAAAGGTTCTACTCCTTTAGTTGAGGACACACATCACGAGTAAGTTTCTGAGAATGCTTCTGTCTAGTTTTTATGGGAAGATATTTCCTTTTTCACCTTAGGCCGGTAAGTGCTCCAAATGTCCACTTACACACACTACAAAAAGAGTGTTTCAAACCTGCTCTGTGAAAGGGAATGTTCAATTCTGTGACTTGAATGCAATCATCACAAAGAACTTTCTGAGAATGCTGCTGTCTGCTTTTTATATGTAATCCCGTTTCCAACGAAATCCTCAAATCTAGCCCAATATCCACTTGCAGATTCCACAAAAAGAGTGTTTCAAAACTGTTCTGTCTAAAGAAATGTACAACTGTGTTAGTTGAGGACACACATCAGAAACTAGTTTCTGAGAATGCTTCTGTCTAGTTGTTATGGGAAGATATTTCCTTTTCCAACGTAGGCCTGAAAGCGCTCCAAATGTCCACTTCCATATACTAAAAAAAGAGTGTTTCAAACCTGCTCTACCAAAGGGAATGTTCTACTCAGTGACTTGAATGCAAACATCCCAAAGAAGTTTCTGAGAATGCTTCTGTCTAGATTTTATCTGAAGACAATCCCGTTTCCAACGAAATCCTCAAGGCTAGGCAAATATACTCTTGCAGATTCCAGAAAAAGAGGGTTTCAAAACTGCTCCTTCAAAACGGTGGTTCAATTCTCTTAGTTGAGTACACACATCTCAAATAAGTTTCTGAGAATGCTTCTGCCTAGTTGTTACGGGAAGATATTTCCCTTTCCAACATGGGCCTGAAAGCGCTCCAAATGTCCACTTCCAGATACTACAAAAAGAGTGTTTCAAACCTGCTCTACCAAAGGGAATGTTCTACTCTGTGACTTGAATGCAAACATCCCAAAGAAGTTTCTGAGAATGCTTCTGTCTAGATTTTAACTGAAGACAATCCCGTTTCCCACGAAATCCTCAAAGCTATGCAAATATCCTCTTGCAGATTCTACAAAAATAGTGTTTCAAAACTGCTCTATGAAAAGAAAGGTTCAACTCTGTCAGTAGAGGGCACACATCACAAACAAGTTTCTGAGAATGCTTGTGTCTAGTTGTTATGGGAAGATATTTCCTTTTTCAACATAGGCCTGAAAGCGCTCCAAATGTCCACTTCCAGATACTACAAAAGGAGTGATTCCAACCTGCTCTATGATAGGGAATGTTCATCTCTGTGTCCTGAATACAAACATCACAAAGATGTTTCTCAGAACGCTGCAGTCTGCAATTTGTATGAATTCCCGCTTCCAACGAAATCCTCAAAACTAGCCAAATATCCACTTGCAGATTCCACAAAAAGACCATTTCAAAACTGCTCTATCAAAAGAAAGGTTCAACTTTGTTAGTTGAGTAGATACAGCATAAACAAGTTTCTGAGAATGCTTCTGTCCAGTTTTTATGGGAAGATATTTCCTTTTTCACCTTAGCCCTGAAATCGCTCCAAAAGTCCAGTTCCAGATACTACAAAAGGGGTGTTTCAAGACTGCTCTATGAAAGGGAGTGTTCAACTTTTGACTTGAATGCAAACATCAGAAAGCAGTTTCTCAGAACGCTGCTGTGTGCTTTTTATATGTATTCCCGCTTCCAGCGAAATCCCCAAAGCTAGCCAAATATCCACTTGCAGATTCCAGAAAAAGAGTGTTTCAAAACAGCTCCTTCAAAACGGTGGTTCAATTCTCTTAGTTGAGTACACACATCTCAAATAAGTTTCTGAGAATGCTTCTGTCTAGTTGTTATGGGAAGATATTTCCTTTTCCAACATAGGCCTGAAAGCGCTCCAAATGTCCACTTCCAGATACTACAAAAGGAGTGATTCCAACCTGCTCTATGATAGGGAATGTTCAACTCTGTGTCCTGAATACAAACATCACAAAGATGTTTCTCAGAACGCTGCAGTCTGCAATTTGTATGAATTCCCGCTTCCAACGAAATCCTCAAAACTAGCCAAATATCCACTTGCAGATTCCACAAAAAGAGCGTTTCAAAACTTCTCTATGAAAAGAAAGGTTCTACTCCTTTAGTTGAGGACACACATCACGAGTAAGTTTCTGAGAATGCTCTGTCTAGTTTTTATGGGAAGATATTTCCTTTTTCACCTTAGGCCGGAAAGTGCTCCAAATGTCCACTTACACACACTACAAAAAGAGTGTTTCAAACCTGCTCTGTGAAAGGGAATGTTCAATTCTGTGACTTGAATGCAATCATCACAAAGAACTTCTGAGAATGCTGGCTGACTGCTTTTTATATGTAATCCCGTTTCCAACGAAATCCTCAAATCTAGCCAAATAGCCACTTGCAGATTCCACAAAAAGAGTGTTTCAAAACTGTTCTGTCTAAAGAAATGTTCAACTGTGTTAGTTGAGGACACACATCAGAAACTAGTTTCTGAGAATGCTTCTGTCTAGTTGTTATGGGAAGATATTTCCTTTTCCAACGTAGGCCTGAAAGCGCTCCAAATGTCCACTTCCAGATACTACAAAAAGAGTGTTTCAAACCTGCTCTACCAAAGGGAATGTTCTACTCTGTGACTTGAATGCAAACATCCCAAAGAAGTTTCTGAGAATGCTTCTGTCTAGATTTTCTCTGAAGACAATCCCGTTTCCAACGAAATCCTCAAGGCTAGGCAAATATACTCTTGCAGATTCCAGAAAAAGAGTGTTTCAAAACTGCTCCTTCAAAACGGTGGTTCAATTCTCTTAGTTGAGTACACACATCTCAAATAAGTTTCTGAGAATGCTTCTGCCTAGTTGTTACGGGAAGATATTTCCCTTTCCAACATGGGCCTGAAAGCGCTCCAAATGTCCACTTCCAGATACTACAAAAAGAGTGTTTCAAACCTGCTCTACCAAAGGGAATGTTCTACTCTGTGACTTGAATGCAAACATCCCAAAGAAGTTTCTGAGAATGCTTCTGTCTAGATTTTACCTGAAGACAATCCCGTTTCCCACGAAATCCTCAGAGCTATGCAAATATCCTCTTGCAGATTCTACAAAAAGAGTGTTTCGGAACTGCTCTATGAAAAGAAAGGTTCAACTCTGTCAGTAGAGGAAACACATCACCAACAAGTTTCTGAGAATGCTTCTGTCTAGTTGTTATGGGAAGATTTTTCCTTTTTCAACATAGGCCTGAAAGCGCTCCAAATGTCCACTTCCAGATACTACAAAAGGAGTGATCCCAACCTGCTCTATGATAGGGAATGTTCAACTCTGTGTCCTGAATACAAACATCACAAAGATGTTTCTCAGAACGCTGCAGTCTGCAATTTGTATGAATTCCCGCTTCCAACGAAATCCTCAAAACTAGCCAAATATCCACTTGCAGATTCCACAAAAAGAGCATTTCAAAACTGCTCTATCAAAAGAAAGGTTCAACTTTGTTAGTTGAGCAGATACAGCATAAACAAGTTTCTGAGAATGCTTCTGTCCAGTTTTTATGGGAAGATATTTCCTTTTTCACCTTAGCCCTGAAAGCGCTCCAAATTTCCAGTTCCAGATACTACAAAAGGGGTGTTTCAAGACTGCTCTATGAAAGGGAGTGTTCAACTTTTGACTTGAATGCAAACATCAGAAAGCAGTTTCTCAGAACGCTGCTGTGTGCTTTTTATATGTATTCCCGCTTCCAGCGAAATCCCCAAAGCTAGCCAAATATCCACTTGCAGATTCCAGAAAAAGAGTGTTTCCAAACTGCTCCTTCAAAACGGTGGTTCAATTCTCTTAGTTGAGTACACACATCTCAAATAAGTTTCTGGGAATGCTTCTGTCTAGTTGTTATGGGAAGATATTTCCTTTTCCAACATAGGCCTGAAAGCGCTCCAAATGTCCACTTCCAGATACTACAAAAGGAGTGATTCAAACCTGCTCTATGATAGGGAATGTTCAACTCTGTGTCCTGAATACAAACATCACAAAGATGTTTCTCAGAACGCTGCAGTCTGCAATTTGTATGAATTCCCGCTTCCAACGAAATCCTCAAAACTAGCCAAATATCCACATGCAGATTCCACAAAAAGAGCGTTTCAAAACTTCTCTATGAAAAGAAAGGTTCTACTCCTTTAGTTGAGGACACACATCACGAGTAAGTTTCTGAGAATGCTTCTGTCTAGTTTTTATGGGAAGATATTTCCTTTTTCACCTTAGGCCGGAAAGTGCTCCAAATGTCCACTTACACACACGACAAAAAGAGTGTTTCAAACCTGTTCTGTGAAAGGGAATGTTCAATTCTGTGACTTGAATGCAATCATCCCAAAGAATTTTCTGAGAATGCTGCTGTCTGCTTTTTATATGTAATCCCGTTTCCAACGAAATCCTCAAATCTAGCCAAATAGCCACTTGCAGATTCCACAAAAAGAGTGTTTCAAAACTGTTCTGTCTAAAGAAATGTTCAACTGTGTTAGTTGAGGACACACATCAGAAACTAGTTTCTGAGAATGCTTCTGTCTAGTTGTTATGGGAAGATATTTCCTTTTCCAACGTAGGCCTGAAAGCGCTCCAAATGTCCACTTCCATATACTAAAAAAAGAGTGTTTCAAACCTGCTCTACCAAAGGGAATGTTCTATTCTGTGACTTGAATGCAAACATCCCAAAGAAGTTTCTGAGAATGCTTCTGTCTAGATTTGATCTGAAGACAATCCCGTTTCCAACGAAATCCTCAAGGCTAGGCAAATATCCTCTTGCAGATTCCAGAGAAAGAGTGTTTCAAAACTGCTCCTTGAAAACGGTGGTTCAATTCTCTTAGTTGAGTACACACATCTCAAATACCTTTCTGAGAATGCTTCTGCCTAGTTGTTACGGGAAGATATTTCCCTTTCCAACATAGGCCTGAAAGCGCTCCAAATGTCCACTTCCAGATACTACAAAAAGAGTGTTTCAAACCTGCTCTACCAAAGGGAATGTTCTGCTCTGTGACTTGAATGCAAACATCCCAAAGAAGTTTCTGAGAATGCTTCTGTCTAGATTTTACCTGAAGACAATCCCGTTTCCCACGAAATCCTCAAAGCTATGCAAATATCCTCTTGCAGATTCTACAAAAAGAGTGTTTCAAAACTGCTCTATGAAAAGAAAGGTTCAACTCTGTCAGTAGAGGGCACACATCACAAACAAGTTTCTGAGAATGCTTGTGTCTAGTTGTTATGGGAAGATATTTCCTTTTTCAACATAGGCCTGAAAGCGCTCCAAATGTCCACTTCCAGATACTACAAAAGGAGTGATTCCAACCTGCTCTATGATAGGGAATGTTCAACTCTCTGTCCTGAATACAAACATCACAAAGATGTTTCTCAGAACGCTGCAGTCTGCAATTTGTATGAATTCCCGCTTCCAGCGAAATCCTCAAAACTAGCCAAATATCCACTTGCAGATTCCACAAAAAGAGCATTTCAAAACTGCTCTATCAAAAGAAAGGTTCAACTTTGTTAGTTGAGTAGATACAGCATAAACAAGTTTCTGAGAATGCTTCTGTCCAGTTTTTATGGGAAGATATTTCCTTTTTCACCTTAGCCCTGAAAGCGCTCCAAAAGTCCAGTTCCAGATACTACAAAAGGAGTGTTTCAGGACTGCTCTATGAAAGGGAGTGTTCAACTTTTGACTTGAATGCAAACATCAGAAAGCAGTTTCTCAGAACGCTGCTGTGTGCTTTTTATATGTATTCCCGCTTCCAGCGAAATCCCCAAAGCTAGCCAAATATCCACTTGCAGATTCCAGAAAAAGAGTGTTTCAAAACTGCTCCTTCAAAACGGTGGTTCAATTCTCTTAGTTGAGTACACACATCTCAAATAAGTTTCTGAGAATGCTTGTGTCTAGTTGTTATGGGAAGATATTTCCTTTTCCAACATAGGCCTGAAAGCGCTCCAAATGTCCACTTCCAGATACTACAAAAGGAGTGATTCAAACCTGCTCTATGATAGGGAATGTTCAACTCTGTGTCCTGAATACAAACATCACAAAGATGTTTCTCAGAACGCTGCAGTCTGCAATTTGTATGAATTCCCGCTTCCAACGAAATCCTCAAAACTAGCCAAATATCCACTTGCAGATTCCACAAAAAGAGCGTTTCAAAACTTCTCTATGAAAAGAAAGGTTCTACTCCTTTAGTTGAGGACACACATCACGAGTAAGTTTCTGAGAATGCTTCTGTCTAGTTTTTATGGGAAGATATTTCCTTTTTCACCTTAGGCCGGAAAGTGCTCCAAATGTCCACTTACACACACTACAAAAAGAGTGTTTCAAACCTGCTCTGTGAAAGGGAATGTTCAATTCTGTGACTTGAATGCAATCATCACAAAGAAGTTTCTGAGAATGCTGCTGACTGCTTTTTATATGTAATCCCGTTTCCAACGAAATCCTCAAATCTAGCCAAATAGCCACTTGCAGATTCCACAAAGAGATTGTTTCAAAACTGTTCTGTCTAAAGAAATGTTCAACTGTGTTAGTTGAGGACACACATCAGAAACTAGTTTCTGAGAATGCTTCTGTCTAGTTGTTATGGGAAGATATTTCCTTTTCCAACGTAGGCCTGAAAGCGCTCCAAATGTCCACTTCCATATACTAAAAAAAGAGTGTTTCAAACCTGCTCTACCAAAGGGAATGTTCTACTCTGTGACTTGAATGCAAACATCCCAAAGAAGTTTCTGAGAATGCTTCTGTCTAGATTTTCTCTGAAGACAATCCCGTTTCCAACGAAATCCTCAAGGCTAGGCAAATATACTCTTGCAGATTCCAGAAAAAGAGTGTTTCAAAACTGCTCCTTCAAAACGGTGGTTCAATTCTCTTAGTTGAGTACACACATCTCAAATAAGTTTCTGAGAATGCTTCTGCCTAGTTGTTACGGGAAGATATTTCCCTTTCCAACATGGGCCTGAAAGCGCTCCAAATGTCCACTTCCAGATACTACAAAAAGAGGGTTTCAAACCTGCTCTACCAAAGGGAATGTTCTACTCTGTGACTTGAATGCAAACATCCCAAAGAAGTTTCTGAGAATGCTTCTGTCTAGATTTTACCTGAAGACAATCCCGTTTCCCACGAAATCCTCAAATCTATGCAAATATCCTCTTGCAGATTCTACAAAAAGAGTGTTTCAAAACTGCTCTATGAAAAGAAAGGTTCAACTCTGTCAGTAGAGGGCGCACATCACAAACAAGTTTCTGAGAATGCTTGTGTCTAGTTGTTATGGGAAGATATTTCCTTTTTCAACATAGGCCTGAAAGCGCTCCAAATGTCCACTTCCAGATACTACAAAAGGAGTGATTCCAACCTGCTCTATGATAGGGAATGTTCATCTCTGTGTCCTGAATACAAACATCACAAAGATGTTTCTCAGAACGCTGCAGTCTGCAATTTGTATGAATTCCCGCTTCCAACGAAATCCTCAAAACTAGCGAAATATCCACTTGCAGATTCCACAAAAAGAGCATTTCAAAACTGCTCTATCAAAAGAAAGGTTCAACTTTGTTAGTTGAATAGATACAGCATAAACAGGTTTCTGAGAATGCTTCTGTCCAGTTTTTATGGGAAGATATTTCCTTTTTCACCTTAGCCCTGAAGGCGCTCCAAATGTCCAGTTCCAGATACTACAAAAGGGGTGTTTCAAGACTGCTCTATGAAAGGGAGTGTTCAACTTTTGACTTGAATGCAAACATCAGAAAGCAGTTTCTCAGAACGCTGCTGTGTGCTTTTTATATGTATTCCCGCTTCCAGCGAAATCCCCAAAGCTAGCCAAATATCCACTTGCAGATTCCAGAAAAAGAGTGTTTCCAAACTGCTCCTTCAAAACGGTGGTTCAATTCTCATAGTTGAGTACACACATCTCAAATAAGTTTTTGGGAATGCTTCTGTCTAGTTGTTATGGGAAGATATTTCCTTTTCCAACATAGGCCTGAAAGCGCTCCAAATGTCCACTTCCAGATACTACAAAAGGAGTGATTCAAACCTGCTCTATGATAGGGAATGTTCAACTCTGTGTCCTGAATACAAACATCACAAAGATGTTTCTCAGAACGCTGCAGTCTGCAGTTTGTATGAATTCCCGCTTCCAACGAAATCCTCAAAACTAGCCAAATATCCACTTGCAGATTCCACAAAAAGAGCGTTTCAAAACTTCTCTATGAAAAGAAAGGTTCTACTCCTTTAGTTGAGGACACACATCACGAGTAAGTTTATGAGAATGTTTCTGTCTAGTTTTTATGGGAAGATATTTCCTTTTTCACCTTAGGCCGGAAAGTGCTCCAAATGTCCACTTACACACACTACAAAAAGAGTGTTTCAAACCTGCTCTGTGAAAGGGAATGTTCAATTCTGTGACTTGAATGCAATCATCACAAAGAAGTTTCTGAGAATGCTGCTGTCTGCTTTTTATATGTAATCCCGTTTCCAACGAAATCCTCAAATCTAGCCAAATAGCCACTTGCAGATTCCACAAAAAGAGTGTTTCAAAACTGTTCTGTCTAAAGAAATGTTCAACTGTGTTAGTTGAGGACACACATCAGAAACTAGTTTCTGAGAATGCTTCTGTCTAGTTGTTATGGGAAGATATTTCCTTTTCCAACGTAGGCCTGAAAGCGCTCCAAATGTCCACTTCCATATACTAAAAAAAGAGTGTTTCAAACCTGCTCTACCAAAGGGAATGTTCTACTCTGTGACTTGAATGCAAACATCCCAAAGAAGTTTCTGAGAATGCTTCTGTCTAGCATTTTCTCTGAAGACAATCCCGTTTCCAACGAAATCCTCAAGGCTAGGCAAATATCCTCTTGCAGATTCCAGAAAAAGAGTGTTTCAAAACTGCTCCTTCAAAACGGTGGTTCAATTCTCTTAGTTGAGTACACACATCTCAAATAAGTTTCTGAGAATGCTTCTGCCTAGTTGTTACGGGAAGATATTTCCCTTTCCAACATGGGCCTGAAAGCGCTCCAAATGTCCACTTCCAGATACTACAAAAAGAGTGTTTCAAACCTGCTCTACCAAAGGGAATGTTCTACTCTGTGACTTGAATGCAAACATCCCAAAGAAGTTTCTGAGAATGCTTCTGTCTAGATTTTACCGGAAGACAATCCCGTTTCCCACGAAATCCTCAAAGCTATGCAAATATCCTCTTGCAGATTCTACAAAAAGAGTGTTTCAAAACTGCTCTATGAAAAGAAAGGTTCAACTCTGTCAGTAGAGGGCACACATCACAAACAAGTTTCTGAGAATGCTTCTGCATAGTTGTTACGGGAAGATATTTCCCTTTCCAAAATAGGCCTGAAAGCGCTCCAAATGTCCACTTCCAGATACTACAAAAGGAGTGATTCCAACCTGCTCTATGATAGGGAATGTTCAACTCTCTGTCCTGAATACAAACATCACAAAGATGTTTCTCAGAACGCTGCAGTCTGCAATTTGTATGAATTCCCGCTTCCAACGAAATCCTCAAACCTAGCCAAATATCCACTTGCAGATTCCACAAAAAAAGCATTTCAAAACTGCTCTATCAAAAGAAAGGTTCAACTTTGTTAGTTGAGTAGATACAGCATAAACCAGTTTCTGAGAATGCTTCTGTCCAGTTTTTATGGGAAGATATTTCCTTTTTCACCTTTGCCCTGAAAGCGCTCCAAATGTCCAGTTCCAGATACTACAAAAGGGGTGTTTCAAGACTGCTCTATGAAAGGGGGTGTTCAACTTTTGACTTGAATGCAAACATCAGAAAGCAGTTTCTCAGAACGCTGCTGTGTGCTTTTTATATGTATTCCCGCTTCCAGCGAAATCCCCAAAGCTAGCCAAATATCCACTTGCAGATTCCAGAAAAAGAGTGTTTCAAAACTGCTCCTTCAAAACGGTGGTTCAATTCTCTTAGTTGAGTACACACATCTCAAATAAGTTTCTGAGAATGCTTGTGTCTAGTTGTTATGGGAAGATATTTCCTTTTTCAACATAGGCCTGAAAGCGCTCCAAATGTCCACTTCCAGATACTACAAAAGGAGTGATTCCAACCTGCTCTATGATAGGGAATGTTCAACTCTGTGTCCTGAATACAAACATCACAAAGATGTTTCTCAGAACGCTGCAGTCTGCAATTTGTATGAATTCCCGCTTCCAACGAAATCCTCAAAACTAGCCTAATATCCACTTGCAGATTCCACAAAAAGAGCGTTTCAAAACTTATCTATGAAAAGAAAGGTTCTACTTCTTTAGTTGAGGACACACATCACGAGTAAGTTTCTGAGAATGCTTCTGTCTAGTTTTTATGGGAAGATATTTCCTTTTTCACCTTAGGCCGGAAAGTGCTCCAAATGTCCACTTACACACACTATACAAAGAGTGTTTCAAACCTGCTCTGTGAAAGGGAATGTTCAATACTGTGACTTGAATGCAATCATCACAAAGAAGTTTCTGAGAATGCTGCTGTCTGCTTTTTATATGTAATCCCGTTTCCAACGAAATCCTCAAATCTAGCCAAATAGCCACTTGCAGATACCACAAAAAGAGTGTTTCAAAACTGTTCTGTCTAAAGAAATGTTCAACTGTGTTAGTTGAGGACACACATCAGAAACTAGTTTCTGAGAATGCTTCTGTCTAGTTGTTATGGGAAGATATTTCCTTTTCCAACGTAGGCCTGAAAGCGCTCCAAATGTCCACTTCCATATACTACAAAAAGAGTGTTTCAAACCTGCTCTACCAAAGGGAATGTTCTACTCTGTGACTTGAATGCAAACATCCCAAAGAAGTTTCTGAGAATGCTTCTGTCTAGATTTTACCTGAAGACAATCCCGTTTCCCACGAAATCCTCAAAGCTATGCAAATATCCTCTTGCAGATTCTACAAAAAGAGTGTTTCAAAACTGCTCTATGAAAAGAAAGGTTCAACTCTGTCAGTAGAGGGCACACATCACAAACAAGTTTCTGAGAATGCTTCTGCATAGTTGTTACGGGAAGATATTTCCCTTTCCAAAATAGGCCTGAAAGCGCTCCAAATGTCCACTTCCAGATACTACAAAAGGAGTGATTCCAACCTGCTCTATGATAGGGAATGTTCAACTCTGTGTCCTGAATACAAACATCACAAAGATGTTTCTCAGAACGCTGCAGTCTGCAATTTGTATGAATTCCCGCTTCCAACGAAATCCTCAAAACTAGCCAAATATCCACTTGCAGATTCCACAAAAAGACCATTTCAAAACTGCTCTATCAAAAGAAAGGTTCAACTTTGTTAGTTGAGTAGATACAGCATAAACAAGTTTCTGAGAATGCTTCTGTCCAGTTTTTATGGGAAGATATTTCCTTTTTCACCTTAGCCCTGAAATCGCTCCAAAAGTCCAGTTCCAGATACTACAAAAGGGGTGTTTCAAGACTGCTCTATGAAAGGGAGTGTTCAACTTTTGACTTGAATGCAAACATCAGAAAGCAGTTTCTCAGAACGCTGCTGTGTGCTTTTTATATGTATTCCCGCTTCCAGCGAAATCCCCAAAGCTAGCCAAATATCCACTTGCAGATTCCAGAAAAAGAGAGTTTCAAAACTGCTCCTTCAAAACGGTGGTTCAATTCTCTTAGTTGAGTACACACATCTCAAATAAGTTTCTGAGAATGCTGCAGTCTGCAATTTGTATGAATTCCCGCTTCCAACGAAATCCTCAAAACTAGCCAAATATCCACTTGCAGATTCCACAAAAAGAGCGTTTCAAAACTTCTCTATGAAAAGAAAGGTTCTACTCCTTTAGTTGAGGACACACAATACGAGTAAGTTTCTGAGAATGCTTCTGTCCAGTTTTTATGGGAAGATATTTCCTTTTTCACCTTAGCCCTGAAAGCGCTCCAAAAGTCCAGTTCCAGATACTACAAAAGGAGTGTTTCAGGACTGCTCTATGAAAGGGAGTGTTCAACTTTTGACTTGAATGCAAACATCAGAAAGCAGTTTCTCAGAACGCTGCTGTGTGCTTTTTATATGTATTCCCGCTTCCAGCGAAATCCCCAAAGCTAGCCAAATATCCACTTGCAGATTCCAGAAAAAGAGTGTTTCAAAACTGCTCCTTCAAAACGGTGGTTCAATTCTCTTAGTTGAGTACACACATCTCAAATAAGTTTCTGAGAATGCTTGTGTCTAGTTGTTATGGGAAGATATTTCCTTTTTCAACATAGGCCTGAAAGCGCTCCAAATGTCCACTTCCAGATACTACAAAAGGAGTGATTCCAACCTGCTCTATGATAGGGAATGTTCAACTCTCTGTCCTGAATACAAACATCACAAAGATGTTTCTCAGAACGCTGCAGTCTGCAATTTGTATGAATTCCCGCTTCCAACGAAATCCTCAAAACTAGCCAAATATCCACTTGCAGATTCCACAAAAAGAGCGTTTCAAAACTTCTCTATGAAAAGAAAGGTTCTACTCCTTTAGTTGAGGACACACATCACGAGTAAGTTTCTGAGAATGCTTCTGTCTAGTTTTTATGGGAAGATATTTCCTTTTTCACCTTAGGCCGGTAAGTGCTCCAAATGTCCACTTACACACACTACAAAAAGAGTGTTTCAAACCTGCTCTGGGAAAGGGAATGTTCAATTCTGTGACTTGAATGCAATCATCACAAAGAACTTTCTGAGAATGCTGCTGACTGCTTTTTATATGTAATCCCGTTTCCAACGAAATCCTCAAATCTAGCCAAATAGCCACTTGCAGATTCCACAAAAAGAGTGTTTCAAAACTGTTCTGTCTAAAGAAATGTTCAACTGTGTTAGTTGAGGACACACATCAGAAACTAGTTTCTGAGAATGCTTCTGTCTAGTTGTTATGGGAAGACATTTGCTTTTCCAACGTAGGCCTGAAAGCGCTCCAAATGTCCACTTACACACACTACAAAAAGAGTGTTTCAAACCTGCTCTACCAAAGTAAATGTTCTACTCTGTGACTTGAATGCAAACATCCCAAAGAAGTTTCTGAGAATGCTTCTGTCTAGATTTTCTCTGAAGACAATCCCGTTTCCAACGAAATCCTCAAGGCTAGGCAAATATACTCTTGCAGATTCCAGAAAAAGAGTGTTTCAAAACTGCTCCTTCAAAACGGTGGTTCAATTCTCTTAGTTGAGTACACACATCTCAAATAAGTTTCTGAGAATGCTTCTGCCTCGTTGTTACGGGAAGATATTTCCCTTTCCAACATGGGCCTGAAAGCGCTCCAAATGTCCACTTCCAGATACTACAAAAAGAGGGTTTCAAACCTGCTCTACCAAAGGGAATGTTCTACTCTGTGACTTGAATGCAAACATCCCAAAGAAGTTTCTGAGAATGCTTCTGTCTAGATTTTACCTGAAGACAATCCCGTTTCCCACGAAATCCTCAAAGCTATGCAAATATCCTCTTGCAGATTCTACAAAAAGAGTGTTTCAAAAGTGCTCTATGAAAAGAAAGGTTCAACTCTGTCAGTAGAGGGCACACATCACAAACAAGTTTCTGAGAATGCTTCTGTCTAGTTGTTATGGGAAGATATTTCCTTTTTCAACATAGGCCTGAAAGCGCTCCAAATGTCCACTTCCAGATACTACAAAAGGAGTGATTCCAACCTGCTCTATGATAGGGAATGTTCAACTCTGTGTCCTGAATACAAACATCACAAAGATGTTTCTCAGAACGCTGCAGTCTGCAATTTGTATGAATTCCCGCTTCCAACGAAATCCTCCAAACTAGCCAAATATCCACTTGCAGATTCCACAAAAAGAGCGTTTCAAAACTTCTCTATGAAAAGAAAGGTTCTACTCCTTTAGTTGAGGACACACATCACGAGTAAGTTTCTGAGAATGCTTCTGTCTAGTTTTTATGGGAAGATATTTCCTTTTTCACCTTAGGCCGGAAAGTGCTCCAAAAGTCCACTTACACACACTACAAAAAGAGTGTTTCAAACCTGCTCTGTGAAAGGGAATGTTCAATTCTGTGACTTGAATGCAATCATCACAAAGAACGTTCTGAGAATGCTGCTGTCTGCTTTTTATATGTAATCCCGTTTCCAACGAAATCCTCAAATCTAGCCAAATAGCCACTTGCAGATTCCACAAAAAGAGAGTTTCAAAACTGTTCTGTCTAAAGAAATGTTCAACTGTGTTAGTTGAGGACACACATCAGAAACTAGTTTCTGAGAATACTTCTGTCTAATTGTTATGGGAAGATATTTCCTTTTCCAACGTAGGCCTGAAAGCGCTCCAAATGTCCACTTCCATATACTAAAAAAAGAGTGTTTCAAACCTGCTCTACCAAAGGGAATGTTCTACTCTGTGACTTGAATGCAAACATCCCAAAGAAGTTTCTGAGAATGCTTCTGTCTAGATTTGATCTGAAGACAATCCCGTTTCCAACGAAATCCTCAAGGCTAGGCAAATATCCTCTTGCAGATTCCAGAAAAAGAGTGTTTCAAAACTGCTCCTTCAAAACGGTGGTTCAATTCTCTTAGTTGAGTACACACATCTCAAATAAGTTTCTGAGAATGCTTCTGCCTAGTTGTTACCGGAAGATATTTCCCTTTCCAACATAGGCCTGAAAGCGCTCCAAATGTCCACTTCCAGATACTACAAAAAGAGTGTTTCAAACCTGCTCTACCAAAGGGAATGTTCTACTCTGTGACTTGAATGCAAACATCCCAAAGAAGTTTCTGAGAATGCTTCTGTCTAGATTTTACCTGAAGACAATCCCGTTTCCCACGAAATCCTCAAAGCTATGCAAATATCCTCTTGCAGATTCTACAAAAAGAGTGTTTCAAAACTGCTCTATGAAAAGAAAGGTTCAACTCTGTCAGTAGAGGGCACACATCACAAACAAGTTTCTGAGAATGCTTGTGTCTAGTTGTTATGGGAAGATATTTCCTTTTTCAACATAGGCCAGAAAGCGCTCCAAATGTCCACTTCCAGATACTACAAAAGGAGTGATTCCAACCTGCTCTATGATAGGGAATGTTCAACTCTCTGTCGTGAATACAAACATCACAAAGATGTTTCTCAGAACGCTGCAGTCTGCAATTTGTATGAATTCCCGCTTCCAACGAAATCCTCAAAACTAGCCAAATATCCACTTGCAGATTCCACAAAAAGAGCATTTCAAAACTGCTCTATCAAAAGAAAGGTTCAACTTTGTTAGTTGAGTAGATACAGCATAAACAAGTTTCTGAGAATGCTTCTGTCCAGTTTTTATGGGAAGATATTTCCTTTTTCACCTTAGCCCTGAAAGCGCTCCAAAAGTCCAGTTCCAGATACTACAAAAGGAGTGTTTCAGGACTGCACTATGAAAGGGAGTGTTCAACTTTTGACTTGAATGCAAACATCAGAAAGCAGTTTCTCAGAACGCTGCTGTGTGCTTTTTATATGTATTCCCGCTTCCAGCGAAATCCCCAAAGCTAGCCAAATATCCACTTGCAGATTCCAGAAAAAGAGTGTTTCAAAACTGCTCCTTCAAAACGGTGGTTCAATTCTCTTAGTTGAGTACACACATCTCAAATAAGTTTCTGAGAATGCTTCTGTCTAGTTGTTATGGGAAGATATTTCCTTTTCCAACATAGGCCTGAAAGCGCTCCAAATGTCCACTTCCAGATACTACAAAAGGAGTGATTCCAACCTGCTCTATGATAGGGAATGTTCAACTCTGTGTCCTGAATACAAACATCACAAAGATGTTTCTCAGAACGCTGCAGTCTGCAATTTGTATGAATTCCCGCTTCCAACGAAATCCTCCAAACTAGCCAAATATCCACTTGCAGATTCCACAAAAAGAGCGTTTCAAAACTTCTCTATGAAAAGAAAGGTTCTACTCCTTTAGTTGAGGACACACATCACGAGTAAGTTTCTGAGAATGCTTCTGTCTAGTTTTTATGGGAAGATATTTCCTTTTTCACCTTAGGCCGGAAAGTGCTCCAAATGTCCACTTACACACACTACAAAAAGAGTGTTTCAAACCTGCTCTGTGAAAGGGAATGTTCAATTCTGTGACTTGAATGCAATCATCACAAAGAACTTTCTGAGAATGCTGCTGTCTGCTTTTTATATGTAATCCCGTTTCCAACGAAATCCTCAAATCTAGCCAAATAGCCACTTGCAGATTCCACAAAAAGAGTGTTTCAAAACTGTTCTGTCTAAAGAAATGTTCAACTGTGTTAGTTGAGGACACACATCAGAAACTAGTTTCTGAGAATGCTTCTGTCTAGTTGTTATGGGAAGATATTTCCTTTTCCAACGTAGGCCTGAAAGCGCTCCAAATGTCCACTTCCATATACTAAAAAAAGAGTGTTTCAAACCTGCTCTACCAAAGGGAATGTTCTACTCTGTGACTTGAATGCAAACATCCCAAAGAAGTTTCTGAGAATGCTTCTGTCTAGATTTTCTCTGAAGACAATCCCGTTTCCAAAGAAATCCTCAAGGCTAGGCAAATATACTCTTGCAGATTCCAGAAAAAGAGTGTTTCAAAACTGCTCCTTCAAAACGGTGGTTCAATTCTCTTAGTTGAGTACACACATCTCAAATAAGTTTCTGAGAATGCTTCTGCCTAGTTGTTACGGGAAGATATTTCCCTTTCCAACATGGGCCTGAAAGCGCTCCAAATGTCCACTTCCAGATACTACAAAAAGAGTGTTTCAAACCTGCTCTACCAAAGGGAATGTTCTACTCTGTGACTTGAATGCAAACATCCCAAAGAAGTTTCTGAGAATGCTTCTGTCTAGATTTTACCTGAAGACAATCCCGTTTCCCACGAAATCCTCAAAGCGATGCAAATATCCTCTTGCGGATTCTACAAAAAGAGTGTTTCAAAACTGCTCTATGAAAAGAAAGGTTCAACTCTGTCAGTAGAGGGCACACATCACAAACAAGTTTCTGAGAATGCTTGTGTCTAGTTGTTATGGGAAGATATTTCCTTTTTCAACATAGGCCTGAAAGCGCTCCAAATGTCCACTTCCAGATAGTACAAAAGGAGTGATTCCAACATGCTCTATGATAGGGAATGTTCATCTCTGTGTCTTGAATACAAACATCACAAAGATGTTTCTCAGAACGCTGCAGTCTGCAATTTGTATGAATTCCCGCTTCCAACGAAATCCTCAAAACTAACCAAATATCCACTTGGAGATTCCACAAAAAGAGCGTTTCAAAACTTCTCTATGAATAGAAAGGTTCTACTCCTTTAGTTGAGGACACACATCACGAGTAAGTTTCTGAGAATGCTTCTGTCTAGTTTTTATGGGAAGATATGTCCTTTTTCACCTTAGGCCGGAAAGCACTCCAAATGTCCACTTACACACACTACAAAAAGAGTGTTTCAAACCTGCTCTGTGAAAGGGAATGTTCAATTCTGTGACTTGAATGCAATCATCACAAAGAACTTTCTGAGAATGCTGCTGACTGCTTTTTATATGTAATCCCGTTTCCAACGAAATCCTCAAATCTAGCCAAATATCCACTTGCAGATTCCACAAAAAGAGTGTTTCAAAACTATTCTGTCTAAAGAAATGTACAACTGTGTTAGTTGAGGACACACATCAGAAACTAGTTTCTGAGAATGCTTCTGTCTAGTTGTTATGGGAAGATATTTCCTTTTCCAACGTAGGCCTGAAAGCGCTCCAAATGTCCACTTCCATATACTAAAAAAAGAGTGTTTCAAACCTGCTCTACCAAAGGGAATGTTCTACTCTGTGACTTGAATGCAAACATCCCAAAGAAGTTTCTGAGAATGCTTCTGTCTAGATTTGATCTGAAGACAATCCCGTTTCCAACGAAATCCTCAAAGCTAGGCAAATATCCTCTTGCAGATTCCAGAAAAAGAGTGTTTCAAAACTGCTCCTTCAAAACGGTGGTTCAATTCTCTTAGTTGAGTACACACATCTCAAATAAGTTTCTGAGAATGCTTCTGCCTAGTTGTTACGGGAAGATATTTCCCTTTCCAACATAGGCCTGAAAGCGCTCCAAATGTCCACTTCCAGATACTACAAAAAGAGTGTTTCAAACCTGCTCTACCAAAGGGAATGTTCTACTCTGTGACTTGAATGCAAACATCCCAAAGAAGTTTCTGAGAATGCTTCTGTCTAGATTTTACCTGAAGACAATCCCGTTTCCCACGAAATCCTCAAAGCTATGCAAATATCCTCTTGCAGATTCTACAAAAAGAGTGTTTCAAAACTGCTCTATGAAAAGAAAGGTTCAACTCTGTCAGTAGAGGGCACACATCACAAACAAGTTTCTGAGAATGCTTCTGCATAGTTGTTACGGGAAGATATTTCCCTTTCCAAAATAGGCCTGAAAGCGCTCCAAATGTCCACTTCCAGATACTACAAAAGGAGTGATTCCAACCTGCTCTATGATAGGGAATGTTCAACTCTGTGTCCTGAATACAAACATCACAAAGATGTTTCTCAGAACGCTGCAGTCTGCAATTTGTATGAATTCCCGCTTCCAACGAAATCCTCAAAACTAGCCAAATATCCACTTGCAGATTCCACAAAAAGACCATTTCAAAACTGCTCTATCAAAAGAAAGGTTCAACTTTGTTAGTTGAGTAGATACAGCATAACCAAGTTTCTGAGAATGCTTCTGTCCAGTTTTTATGGGAAGATATTTCCTTTTTCACCTTAGCCCTGAAATCGCTCCAAAAGTCCAGTTCCAGATACTACAAAAGGGGTGTTTCAAGACTGCTCTATGAAAGGGAGTGTTCAACTTTTGACTTGAATGCAAACATCAGAAAGCAGTTTCTCAGAACGCTGCTGTGTGCTTTTTATATGTATTCCCGCTTCCAGCGAAATCCCCAAAGCTAGCCAAATATCCACTTGCAGATTCCAGAAAAAGAGAGTTTCAAAACTGCTCCTTCAAAACGGTGGTTCAATTCTCTTAGTTGAGTACACACATCTCAAATAAGTTTCTGAGAATGCTCTGTCTAGTTGTTATGGGAAGATATTTCCTTTTCCAACATAGGCCTGAAAGCGCTCCAAATGTCCACTTCCAGATACTACAAAAGGAGTGATTCAAACCTGCTCTATGATAGGGAATGTTCAACTCTGTGTCCTGAATACAAACATCACAAAGATGTTTCTCAGAACGCTGGCAGTCTGCAATTTGTATGAATTCCCGCTTCCAACGAAATCCTCAAAACTAGCCAAATATCCACTTGCAGATTCCACAAAAAGACCATTTCAAAACTGCTCTATCAAAAGAAAGGTTCAACTTTGTTAGTTGAGTAGATACAGCATAACCAAGTTTCTGAGAATGCTTCTGTCCAGTTTTTATGGGAAGATATTTCCTTTTTCACCTTAGCCCTGAAATCGCTCCAAAAGTCCAGTTCCAGATACTACAAAAGGGGTGTTTCAAGACTGCTCTATGAAAGGGAGTGTTCAACTTTTGACTTGAATGCAAACATCAGAAAGCAGTTTCTCAGAACGCTGCTGTGTGCTTTTTATATGTATTCCCGCTTCCAGCGAAATCCCCAAAGCTAGCCAAATATCCACTTGCAGATTCCAGAAAAAGAGTGTGTCAAAACTGCTCCTTCAAAACGGTGGTTCAATTCTCTTAGTTGAGTACACACATCTCAAATAAGTTTCTGAGAATGCTTCTGTCTAGTTGTTATGGGAAGATATTTCCTTTTCCAACATAGGCCTGAAAGCGCTCCAAATGTCCACTTCCAGATACTACAAAAGGAGTGATTCCAACCTGCTCTATGATAGGGAATGTTCAACTCTGTGTCCTGAATACAAACATCACAAAGATGTTTCTCAGAACGCTGCAGTCTGCAATTTGTATGAATTCCCGCTTCCAACGAAATCCTCAAAACTAGCCAAATATCCACTTGCAGATTCCACAAAAAGAGCGTTTCAAAACTTCTCTATGAAAAGAAAGGTTCTACTCCTTTAGTTGAGGACACACATCACGAGTAAGTTTCTGAGAATGCTTCTGTCTAGTTTTTATGGGAAGATATTTCCTTTTTCACCTTAGGCCGGTAAGTGCTCCAAATGTCCACTTACACACACTACAAAAAGAGTGTTTCAAACCTGCTCTGTGAAAGGGAATGTTCAATTCTGTGACTTGAATGCAATCATCACAAAGAACTTTCTGAGAATGCTGCTGACTGCTTTTTATATGTAATCCCGTTTCCAACGAAATCCTCAAATCTAGCCAAATAGCCACTTGCAGATTCCACAAAAAGAGTGTTTCAAAACTGTTCTGTCTAAAGAAATGTTCAACTGTGTTAGTTGAGGACACACATCAGAAACTAGTTTCTGAGAATGCTTCTGTCTAGTTGTTATGGGAAGATATTTCCTTTTCCAACGTAGGCCTGAAAGCGCTCCAAATGTCCACTTCCAGATACTACAAAAAGAGTGTTTCAAACCTGCTCTACCAAAGGGAATGTTCTACTCTGTGACTTGAATGCAAACATCCCAAAGAAGTTTCTGAGAATGCTTCTGTCTAGATTTTCTCTGAAGACAATCCCGTTTCCAACGAAATCCTCAAGGCTAGGCAAATATACTCTTGCAGATTCCAGAAAAAGAGTGTTTCAAAACTGCTCCTTCAAAACGGTGGTTCAATTCTCTTAGTTGAGTACACACATCTCAAATAAGTTTCTGAGAATGCTTCTGTCTAGTTGTTATGGGAAGATATTTCCTTTTCCAACATAGGCCTGAAAGCGCTCCAAATGTCCACTTCCAGATACTACAAAAGGAGTGATTCCAACCTGCTCTATGATAGGGAATGTTCAACTCTGTGTCCTGAATACAAACATCACAAAGATGTTTCTCAGAACGCTGCAGTCTGCAATTTGTATGAATTCCCGCTTCCAACGAAATCCTCCAAACTAGCCAAATATCCACTTGCAGATTCCACAAAAAGAGCGTTTCAAAACTTCTCTATGAAAAGAAAGGTTCTACTCCTTTAGTTGAGGACACACATCACGAGTAAGTTTCTGAGAATGCTTCTGTCTAGTTTTTATGGGAAGATATTTCCTTTTTCACCTTAGGCCGGAAAGTGCTCCAAATGTCCACTTACACACACTACAAAAAGAGTGTTTCAAACCTGCTCTGTGAAAGGGAATGTTCAATTTTGTGACTTGAATGCAATCATCACAAAGAACTTTCTGAGAATGCTGCTGTCTGCTTTTTATATGTAATCCCGTTTCCAACGAAATCCTCAAATCTAGCCAAATAGCCACTTGCAGATTCCACAAAAAGAGTGTTTCAAAACTGTTCTGTCTAAAGAAATGTTCAACTGTGTTAGTTGAGGACACACATCAGAAACTAGTTTCTGAGAATGCTTCTGTCTAGTTGTTATGGGAAGATATTTCCTTTTCCAACGTAGGCCTGAAAGCGCTCCAAATGTCCACTTCCATATACTAAAAAAAGAGTGTTTCAAACCTGCTCTACCAAAGGGAATGTTCTACTCTGTGACTTGAATGCAAACATCCCAAAGAAGTTTCTGAGAATGCTTCTGTCTAGATTTGATCTGAAGACAATCCCGTTTCCAACGAAATCCTCAAGGCTAGGCAAATATCCTCTTGCAGATTCCAGAAAAAGAGTGTTTCAAAACTGCTCCTTCAAAACGGTGGTTCAATTCTCTTAGTTGAGTACACACATCTCAAATAAGTTTCTGAGAGTGCTTCTGCCTAGTTGTTACGGGAAGATATTTCCCTTTCCAACATAGGCCTGAAAGCGCTCCAAATGTCCACTTCCAGATACTACAAAAAGAGTGTTTCAAACCTGCTCTACCAAAGGGAATGTTCTGCTCTGTGACTTGAATGCAAACATCCCAAAGAAGTTTCTGAGAATGCTTCTGTCTAGATTTTACCTGAAGACAATCCCGTTTCCCACGAAATCCTCAAAGCTATGCAAATATCCTCTTGCAGATTCTACAAAAAGAGTGTTTCAAAACTGCTCTATGAAAAGAAAGGTTCAACTCTGTCAGTAGAGGGCACACATCACAAACAAGTTTCTGAGAATGCTTGTGTCTAGTTGTTATGGGAAGATATTTCCTTTTTCAACATAGGCCTGAAAGCGCTCCAAATGTCCACTTCCAGATACTACAAAAGGAGTGATTCCAACCTGCTCTATGATAGGGAATGTTCAACTCTCTGTCCTGAATACAAACATCACAAAAATGTTTCTCAGAACGCTGCAGTCTGCAATTTGTATGAATTCCCGCTTCCAACGAAATCCTCCAAACTAGCCAAATATCCACTTGCAGATTCCACAAAAAGAGCATTTCAAAACTGCTCTATCAAAAGAAAGGTTCAACTTTGTTAGTTGAGTAGATACAGCATAAACAAGTTTCTGAGAATGCTGCAGTCTGCAATTTGTATGAATTCCCGCTTCCAACGGAAATCCTCAAAACTAGCCAAATATCCACTTGCAGATTCCACAAAAAGAGCGTTTCAAAACTTCTCTATGAAAAGGAAGGTTCTACTCCTTTAGTTGAGGACACACATCACGAGTAAGTTTCTGAGAATGCTTCTGTCTAGTTTTTATGGGAAGATATTTCCTTTTTCACCTTAGGCCGGAAAGTGCTCCAAATGTCCACTTACACACACTACAAAAAGAGTGTTTCAAACCTGCTCTGTGAAAGGGAATGTTCAATTCTGTGACTTGAATGCAATCATCACAAAGAACTTTCTGAGAATGCTGCTGTCTGTTTTTTATATGTAATCCCGTTTCCAACGAAATCCTCAAATCTAGCAAAATAGCCACTTGCAGATTCCACAAAAAGAGTGTTTCAAAACTGTTCTGTCTAAAGAAATGTTCAACTGTGTTAGTTGAGGACACACATCAGAAACTAGTTTGTGAGAATGCTTCTGTCTAGTTGTTATGGGAAGATATTTCCTTTTCCAACGTAGGCCTGAAAGCGCTCCAAATGTCCACTTCCATATACTAAAAAAAGAGTGTTTCAAACCTGCTCTACCAAAGGGAATGTTCTACTCTGTGACTTGAATGCAAACATCCCAAAGAAGTTTCTGAGAATGCTTCTGTCTAGATTTTATCTGAAGACAATCCCGTTTCCAACGAAATCCTCAAGGCTAGGCAAATATACTCTTGCAGATTCCAGAAAAAGAGTGTTTCAAAACTGCCCCTTCAAAACGGTGGTTCAGTTCTCTTACTTGAGTACACACATCTCAAATAAGTTTCTGAGAATGCTTCTGCCTAGTTGTTACGGGAAGATATTTCCCTTTCCAACATGGGCCTGAAAGCGCTCCAAATGTCCACTTCCAGATACTACAAAAAGAGTGTTTCAAACCTGCTCTACCAAAGGGAATGTTCTACTCTGTGACTTGAATGCAAACATCCCAAAGAAGTTTCTGAGAATGCTTCTGTCTAGATTTTACCTGAAGACAATCCCGTTTCCCACGAAATCCTCAAAGCTATGCAAATATCCTCTTGCGGATTCTATAAAAGAGTGTTTCAAAACTGCTCTATGAAAAGAAAGGTTCAACTCTGTCAGTAGAGGGCACACATCACAAACAAGTTTCTGAGAATGCTTGTGTCTAGTTGTTATGGGAAGATATTTCCTTTTTCAACATAGGCCTGAAAGCGCTCCAAATGTCCACTTCCAGATACTACAAAAGGAGTGATTCCAACCTGCTCTATGATAGGGAATGTTCAACTCTCTGTCCTGAATACAAACATCACAAAGATGTTTCTCAGAACGCTGCAGTCTGCAATTTGGATGAATTCCCGCTTCCAACGAAATCCTCAAAACTAGCCAAATATCCACTTGGAGATTCCACAAAAAGAGCGTTTCAAAACTTCTCTATGAATAGAAAGGTTCTACTCCTTTAGTTGAGGACACACATCACGAGTAAGTTTCTGAGGATGCTTCTGTCTAGTTTTTATGGGAAGATATTTCCTTTTTCACCTTAGGCCGGAAAGCGCTCCAAATGTCCACTTACACACACTACAAAAAGAGTGTTTCAAACCTGCTCTGTGAAAGGGAATGTTCAATTCTGTGACTTGAATGCAATCATCACAAAGAACTTTCTGAGAATGCTGCTGTCTGCTTTTTATATGTAATCCCGTTTCCAACGAAATCCTCAAATCTAGCCAAATATCCACTTGCAGATTCCACAAAAAGAGTGTTTCAAAACTGTTCTGTCTAAAGAAATGTTCAACTGTGTTAGTTGAGGACACACATCAGAAACTAGTTTCTGAGAATGCTTCTGTCTAGTTGTTATGGGAAGATATTTCCTTTTCCAACGTAGGCCAGAAAGCGCTCCAAATGTCCACTTACACACACTACAAAAAGAGTGTTTCAAACCTGCTCTACCAAAGGGAATGTTCTACTCTGTGACTTGAATGCAAACATCCCGAAGAAGTTTCTGAGAATGCTTCTGTCTAGAT